>NC_000006.12:91398261-91549199 GCF_000001405.40 Homo sapiens
ACTTTTGGAGATAATAGTAAATTTAAATAAAATTTAGAGAAATTATAAAGAGAGTGTCTATGTACCCTTTACTTCATTTCCCTTAATTGTAGTATCTTGTAAAACTATAGTATAATATATCATGAGTCCCCAACCCCAGGGCAATAAACCAGTACCAGTCTACAGCCTGTTAGGAACTGGGCCATGCAGCAGGAGGTGAGCAGTGTGTGAATGAGCATTACCACTTGAGTTCCAACTCCTGTCAAATCAACAGCAGCATTAGATTCTCACAGGAGCATGAACCCTATTGTGAACTGTGTATGCGAGGGATCTAGGTTGTGGCTACTTAGGAGATTCTAATGCCTGATGATCTGAGGTGGAACAGTTTCATCCTGAAACTGCCCCCCACACCACCCCATCCATGGAAAAATTTTCTTCCATGAAACTGGTCCCTGGTGCCAAAAGGTTGGGGACCACTGAAATATATCACAACCAGGATATTAACACTGATACAGTCAAGACACATAATAGTCCCATCACTAGAAGGAGTCCTGGTGTTGCCTTTTTTATAGCTACAACCACCACACTCCCCTACCTAGTTTTGAATCCCTCGCAACCACTGTCATATTTTGCATTTCTATAATTTTGGAATATTGAGAATTTTACATATATGAAATCATACGGCATGTATCCTTTTGGAGTTGACTTTTATTTTACTCAACCTAATTACCTGGAGATTCATCTAAGGCATCTCACATATCAATAGTTTGCTTCTTTTTATTACTGAGAAGTATATAATAGTATGAATGTACTTCAGTTTCTTTAACAAGTCAGCTATTGAAGGACTTCTGCTTTATTTTCAGTTTTTGTCTATTATGAATAAAAGTGCTATGAGCATTTGTGTGTGTTTTTGTGTAAGCACAGTTTTTCCTTTATTTGGAATAAATGCCAAAGAGTTCTGTTGCTGGGATGTATGGTAGTTGCAAATTTAATTTTTTAAGAAACTTCCAAAATGTTTTTCAGACTGTCTGTACCATTTTACATTCCCACCAGCAATATATAAGTGCTCCAGTTTCTCTACATCTTTGCCATTTGTTGATGTCACAATTTTTCTTATTTTAGCATTCTGATAGATATGTAGTGATATCTTATTGTGATTTTAATTTGCACTTCTCTAATGTATAATGATGAAAATCTCTTCATGTGTTATTTACCATCTGCATATCCTCTTTGATAAAATGTCTATTAATATCTTTTGTCCATATTCTACTTGAATTGTTTATTTTATACTGTTGAATTCTGAGAGTTCTTTATTATTCTAGATACTAGACCTTTGACAGATATGCAATTTGCATATATTTTCTCCCAATCTGCAGCTTGTCTTTTTATCCTTAACGAGGTATTTCACAAAGCAAAAGTTTTAAAATTTGATGTCTAATTTGTCAATTTTTTTAATGCATCAAGCTTTGGTAAGTTTAAGAACTACTTGTCTATTTCTAGATTCCACATATATTCTACTTTTAAAAATAAGTTTTGAAGTTTTATGTTTAAACTTTAAGTCTGAGTTAATTTTTGTATAACATGTGAGGTCTAGGTTGAGGTCCATTTTTTCCCCTATGAATGTCCAATTGCTCCAGCACCATTTGTTGAAAAGACTATTCTTTTTTCATTGAATTGGTTTTGCACCATTGTCAAAAATCAGTTGGACATATTTGTGTAGTACTATTTCTGTCCTCTCTATTCTGTTCCATTGATGTATGTGTCTATCCCTTTTTCAATACCACATTGTCTTGATTACTATGCTATATAGTAGGCTTTAATAATGGTTACAGTCATTCCTATCATTTTCTTCTTCTTCTTTAAAGGCTGTTTTAGCTATTATAGGGCTTGTATCTTTGCATATAAACTTTGGAATTAGCTTGTCTGTCTCCCAGAAAGCTTGCTGGAATTTTGAGAGGAATTGTATTAAACTGATAGATCAATTTGGGTAAAATGAACATTTTCCCTATGTGAGTTTTCCAATTTATGACAGTGATATATCTTTCTATTAATTCACGTTTGATTTCCTTTAGTGGCATTTAAAAATTTTAAATATATAAATCCTACACATATTTTGTAAAACCTACATATATAATTTTCTTTGAAGTTATTTTGAATTTATATATTTTTAATATAAACTTTAAAATCCATGTTTATACTTTTAGAAATTAAAAGACCTGTTTGGATTGTGATAATTTATATGTTAAATTTTGGAGAATTTTCATGATATCGAGTCATCTTATTCAAGCACTTTATTCAAGACTTTTAGGTTTGCTTTCCTGTTTTCTAAGAATGTTTAAACATTTTCTTTACATAATTTTAGAATAATTACTGCTAATTATATGAAATATTTTTTGCTATTTTTGTAAATGGTGTTTACCCTTCACTCATATCTTCCAACTTGTTATTGTTTCTGTATGTAAAGACGATTGGTCTCTTGTAGTTGGATGCCACTAGCATACTAATTTCCTGAATTTTGGTATTGTTTTTCATCATTTTAAATAAAAAGTCTTGGGTTTTCTACATATACATTTATACCATCTACAATTTTTACACCACTAACGGTTATCATTTGCCTGATTGCACTGGCCTTTCCTTTCTTTTTCTTTTTTTTAAATATTTGCAATCTCTGATTCTATGCAACAATTCTTTCTATTTTTATTATACTTTAAGTTCTAGGGTACATGTGCACAACGTGCAGGTTTGTTACATATGTATACATGTGCCATGTTGGTGTGCAGCACCCATTAACTTGTCATTTACATTAGGTATATCTCCTAATGCTATCCCTCCCCTCTCCCCTCTCCCACAACAGGCCCTGGTGTGTGATGTTCCCCTTCCTGTATCCAAGTGTTCTCATTGTTCAATTCCCATCTATGAGTAAGAACATGCCGTGTTTGGTTTTCTGTCCTTGCAATAGTTTCCTGTGAATGATGGTTTCCAGCTTCATCCATGTCTCTACAAAGGACATGAACTCATCCTTTTATGGCTACATAGTATTCCATGGTGTATATGTGCCACGTTTTCTTAATCCAGTCTATCATTGTTGGACATTTGGGTGGGTTCCAAGTCTTTGCTATTGTGAATAGTGCTGCAATAAACATACGTGTGCATGTGTCTTTATAGCAGCATGTTTTGTAATCCTTTGGGTATATACCCAGTAATGAGATGGCTGGGTCAAATGGTATTTCTAGTTCTAGATCCTTGAGGAATCGCCACACTGTCTTCCATAATGGTTGAACTAGTTTACAGTCCCACCAACAGTGTAAAAGTGTTCCTATTTCTCCACATCCTCTCCAGCACCTGTTGTTTCCTGACTTTTTAATGATTGCCATTCTAACTGGTGTGAGATGGTATCTCACTGTGGTTTTGATTTGCATTTCTCTGATGGCCAGTGATGATGAGCATTTTTTCATGTGTCTGTTGGCTGCATAAATGTTTTCTTTTGAGAAGTGTCCGTTCATATCCTTTGCCCACTTTTTGATGGGGTTGTTTGTTTTTTTCTTGTAAATTTGTTTGAGTTCATTGTAGATTCTGGATATTAGCCCTTTGTCAGATGAGTAGATTGCAAAAATTTTCTCCCATTCTGTAGGTTGCCTGTTCACTCTGATGGTAGTTTCTTTTGCTGTGCAGAAGCTCTTTAGTTTATTTAGATCCCATTTGTCAATTTTGGCTTTTGTTTCCATTGCTTTTGGTGTTTTAGACATGAAGTCCTTGCCCATGCCTATGTCCTGAATGGTGTTGCCTAGGTTTTCTTCTAGGGTTTTTATGGTTTTAGGTCTAACGTTTAAGTCTTTAATCCATCTTGAATTAATTTTTGTATAAGGTGTAAGGAAGGGATCCAGTTTCAGCTCTCTACATGTGGCTAGCCAGTTTTCCCAGCACCATTTATTAAATAGGGAATCCTTTCCCCATTGCTTGTTTTTGTCAGGTTTGTCAAAGATCAGATGGTTGTAGATATGTGGCATTATTTTTGAGGGCTCTGTTCTGTTCCATTGGTCTTATCTCTGTTTTGGTACGAGTACCATGCTGTTTTGGTTACTGTAGCCTTGTAGTATAGTTTGAAGTCAGGTAGTGTGATGCCTCCAGCTTTGTTCTTTTGGCTTAGGATTGTCTTGGCAATGTGGGCTCTTTTTTGGTTCCATATGAACTTTAAAGTAGTTTTTTCCAGTTCTATGAGGAAAGTCAATTGTAGCCTGATGGGGATGGCATTGACTCTATAAATTACTTTGGGCAGTATGGCCATTTTCACAATATTGATTCTTCCTATCCATGAGCATGGAATGTTCTTCCATTTGTTTGTGTCCTCTTTTATTTTGTTGAGCAGTGGTTTGTAGTTCTCCTTGAAGAGGTCCCCTTCACATCCCTTGTAAGTTGGATTCCTAGGTATTTTATTCTCTTCGAAGCAATTGTGAATGGGAGTTCACTCATGATTTGGCTCTCTGTTAGTCTGTTATTGGTGTATAAGAACGCTTGTGATTTTTGCACATTGATTTTGTATCCTGAGACTTTGCTGAAGTTGCTTATCAGCTTAAGGAGATTTTGGGCTGAGACGATGGGGTTTTCTAAATATACAATGATGTCATCTGCAAACAGGGACAATTTGACTTCCTCTTTTCCTAATTGAATGCCCTTTATTTCCTTCTCCTGCCTGATTGCCCTGGCCAGAACTTCCAACACTATGTTGAATAGGAGTGGTGAGAGAGGGAATCCCTGTCTTGTGCCAGTTTTCAAAGGGAATGTTTCCAGTTTCTGCCCATTCAGTATGATATTGGCTGTGGGTTTGCCATAAATAGCTCTTATTATTTTGAGATACGTTCCATCAATACCTAATTTATTGAGAATTTTTAGCATGAAGTGCTGTTGAATTTTGTCAAAGGCCTTTTCTGCATCTATTGAGATAATCGTGTGGTTTTTGTCTTTGGTTCTGTTTATATGCTGGATTATGTTTATTGACTTGCATATGTTGAACCAGCCTTGCATCCCAGAGATGAAGCCCACCTTTCCTTTCCAAACAATGTAAAATGTGGTGACATGGGAGTGTTTGCTTTATAAAAGATCTCAGTTGGAATGCCAATTGAGTTTATTCATTAAGCAAGAGGTCGGCTTTAAGAATGAAGAATAGATTTACTTTTTTTTTTAACTTTTATTTTAGGTCCAAGGGTACATGTGCAAGTTTGTTATATGGGTAAACTCATGTCACAGGGATTTGTTGTAGAGATTATTTCATTACCTAGGTATTAAGCCTAGTATATATTAGTTGTCTTTCCTGATATTCTCCCTCCTCCTACCCTCTTCCCTCCACTGTGCTTCAGTGTCTTTTGTTCTCCTTTACATATCCATGTGTTCTCATCATTTAGCTCCCACTTATAAGTGAGAACAGATTAGTAGGGGATCATGGTGGACGGGAGGCAGGGCTAAATTGCAGCTCCCACTTGGATAGATGGAACAGCATGTGAAGGCTCGCATTGTGAACTTTTGCTGCAGAACAACTTCAGGAGTACATGAGGAAAGTCAAGAGAACCCATAGACCCTCTGAAGGAAGTGGATTGCTCCTGCAGAATCTGGGAGACACCCCAAATACTGTGAGTGCCCAAACTGTGGAAATGAGAAAGGGAGATCGTCTGCCCCTGAACACACACCCCCACTGGGGAACCTGAAGGTTTGGATTATGGGAGAAGATTCTGACCTTACCTGGAGCTGAGTTAATTTAGAGAGCCAAGCAAAATACAGGTGTAGAGGAAGCAGTGGGAAAATCCCTGTGGACTCACTGGCTCCTCTACTAAGCCATTTCTGCCTCACCTGACAGGGTTCCTTGAGGAGGGCTGCCAGAGGCACTGGGAAAAGGCCACAGGGAGAAGGAAACTTTCAGCCAAACTTTGTAACAATTTGAACCAATTGAGAAGTCTCCTGGCCAGAAATCGGGGAAGGGTGTGAATCCAGTGTGCTGACTCCACAGGCAGGGGGAAGAAGGAAAGCTCTGCTTATTTTCACAGCTGGAGGGGAGTAGCCTGGGGCAAGTTCACAGCCCTACTCACCCACTTCCTGGAAAGAGACTTGGTGCTGTTGGAGGGGGCATGATGGGAGGGAGACTGGCCCTTTGGGTTGCATGGGAGTTGGGTGAGGCCTGTGACTGCCGGCTTTCCCCGACTTTCCTCACAACCTGCATGACACAGCAAAAGCAGCCATAATCCTCCTAGGAATATAACTCCATTGACTTGAAAGCCTAACCCCAGTCCCCCACAGCAGCCACAACAAGACCTGCTCAAGGGCAGTCTGAGCTCACACATGCCTAGCCCTGCCCCTACCTAATGGTTCTTCTTTACCTACCCTGGTAAATGTAGACAAAGGGCATATACTCTTGGGAGCTCTGGGGCCCACCCACTGCCTGTTTCTCCCCACACTACCACAGCTGATGTTCTCTTGAAAGCGCCACTCCCCAGCAGGAGGCCAAACAGCAGAAAAATAGTGCATTAATCAATCAAAGCTAAAGACCCTCATAGAGTCAATTTCACCCCCCTGCCATTTCCACCAGAGCAGGTGCTGGTATCCATAGCTGATAGTTCACATAGCTGGTATCAACAGATAGTTCACATCATAGGACTCTGAGCAGACAATCCCCAGGACCAACCCAGAGCCTTGTAGACTTGCTGGGTGGCTAGATACTGAAAAGAGATAACAATCTCTATAGCCTGGCTCTCAGGAAGGCATATCCCTAGGAAAAGGGGGTGAGTACTACATCAAGGAAACATCCAGTGGGACAAAAAGAACTAAACAGCAGCCTTAAGCCCTAAACCTTTGACATAGCCTACGCAAATGAGAAGAAACCAGAAAACCAACTCTGGTAATATGATGAATCAAGGTTCTTTAACACCCCCCAAAAATCACACTAGCTCTCCAACAATGGATCGAAACCAAGAAGAAATCCCTGATCTACCTGAAAAATAATTCAGAAGGCTAGTTACTAAGCTAACCAGGGAGGCATCAGAGAAAGGCAAAACTCAATGTAAGGAAATAAAAAAAAAATGACACAAGTAGTGAAAGGAGAAATATTCAATGAAATAGATAGCATAAAGAAAAAACAATCAAAACTTCAAAAAACAATGGATGAACATATGGAAATGCAAAGTGCTCTGGAAAGTCTCAGCAATAGAATCAAACAAGCAGAAGAAAGAAATTCAGATCTCAAAGACAAGGTTTTTGAATTAACCCATCCAACAAAGACAAAGAAAAAAGATTAAGAAAATACGAACAAAGCCTCCAAGAAGTCTGGGATTATGTTAAATGACCAAACCTAAGAATAATCGGCATTCCTGAGGAAGAAGAGAAATCTAAAAGTCTGGAAAATATGTTTGGGGGAATAATCGAAGAAAACTTTCCTGGCCTTGCTAGAGACATAGCCAAATACAAGAAGCTCAAAGAACACCTGAGAAATTCATCACAAAAAGATCATCACTTAAGCACATCGTCATCAGGTTATCTAAAGTCAAGATGAAGGAAAGAATCTTAAGAGCTGTGAGGCAAAAAATCCAGGTAACCTATAAAGGAAAACCTGTCAGATTAACAGCAGATTTCTCAGCAGAAACCCTATAAGCTAGAAGCAACTGGGGCCCTACTTCAGCCTCCTCAAACAAAGCAATTATCAGCCAAGAATTTTGCACCCAGTGAAACTAAGCTTCATAAGTGAAGAAAATATACAGTCTTTTTCAGACAAACACTGAGAGAATTTGCCACTACTAAGCCAGCAGTACACGAATTGCTAAAAGGAGCTCTAAATCTTGAAAAAAATTGTGAAAACACATCAAAACAGAACCTCTTTAAAGCATAAGTCTCACAGGACCTACAAAACAGAAATACAATTAAAAAACAAAAACAGAAAACCAAGATATACAGGCAACAAATAGCACAGTGAATGGAGTGGTACCTCACACCTTAATACTAATGTTGAATGTAAATGGCATAAATGCCCCACTTAAAAGATACAGAATTGCAGAATGGATAAGACTTTACTATACAATTATCTCTTCCCTTCCAGAGACTTACATAAACTTAAGGTAAAGGGATGGAAAAAGACATTCCATGCAAATGGACACTAAAAGCTAGCAGGGGTAGCTATTCTTATATCAGATAAAACAAACTTTAAAGCAACAGGAGTTAAAAAAGACAAAGAGGGTCATTACATAATGATAAAATGCCTTGTCCAAGAGGAAAATATCACAATACTAAGTATATATGCACCTAACACTGGAGCTCCCCAAATTATAAAACAATTACTACTAGATACAAGAAATGAAATAGACAGCAACACAATAATAGTGGGGGGCTTCAATACTCCACTGACAGCACTAGACAGGTCATCAAGACAGAAAGTCAACAAAGAAACAGTGGACTTAAACTTTACCCTAGAATGAATAATTTAACAGATATTTACAGAACATTTTACCCAGCAACTTCAGAACACACACTCTATTCATCAGCACATGGAACATTCTCCAAGATAGACCATATGATAGGCCACAAAATGAGCCTCAATAAATTCAAGAAAATTGAAATTATATCAAACATGCTCTCAGACCACAGTGGAATAAAACTGGAAATCAACTCCAAAAAGAAATTTCAAAACCATGAAAATACATGGAAATTAAATAACCTGTTTCTGAATGATCATTGGGTCAACAATGAAATCAAGATGGAAATTAAAAAATCTTCAAACTGAATGACAATAGTGACATAACTTATCAAAACCTCTGGCATACAGCAAAGGTGATGCGAGGAAGAAAGTTTATAGCCCTAAACACCTACATCAAAAAGTCTGAAAGAGCGCAAACAGACGATCTAAGGTCACACTTCAAGGAACTAGAGAAACAAGAACAAACCAAACCCAAACCCAGCAAAAGAAAGGAAGTAAACAAGATAAGAGCAGAACTAAGTGAAATTGAAATTAAAAAAAATACAAAAGATAAATGGAACAAAAATCTGATTCTTTGAAAAGATTGATAAAATTGATAGACCATTAGCAAGATTAACTAAGAAAAGAAGAAAGAAAATCCAAATAAGCTCAGTTAGAAATGATACAGGAGATATTACAGCTGACACCACTGAAATACAAAAGATCATTCAAGGCTACTATGAACACTTTTATGCACATAAACTAGAACATCTAGAGGAGGTGGATAAATTCCTGGAAATATATAATCTTCCTAGCTTGAGTCAGGAAGAATTAGATACACTATAAAGGAGAATATGCAGTATTTGGTTTTCTGTTTCTGTGTTAGTTTGCTAAGGATAATGGCCTCCAGCTCCCTCCATGTTCCTGCAAAGGACATGATCTCGCTCCTTTTTATGGCTGCATGTATTCCATGGTGTATATGTTCCAAATTTTCTTTATCCAGTCTACCATTCTTGGGCATTTAGGTTGATTCCATGTCTTTGCTATTGTGAATAGTGCTGCAGTAAACATATGCATGCGTGTGTCTTTAAGTTAGAACAATTTTTATTCCTTAGGGCATATACTTAGTAATGGGATTGCTGGGTTGAATGGTAATTCTGTATTATGTTCTTTGAGAAATCTCCACCTGTTTTCACAGTGTCTGAACTAATTTGCATTTCCACCAACAGTGTATAATCCTTTTTCTGTACAACCAGTGGCACCTGTTATTTTTTGGCTTTTTATTAATAGCCATTCTGACTGGTGTGAGATGGTATCTTATGGTGGTTTTGATTTGCGTTTCTCTAATGATAAGTGATGTTGAGCTTTTTCTGTATGCTTGTCGGCTGCATGTATGTCTGAAGCATAGGTATTTTATGATGCTAAGGAAATATGCACAATTTTCTGTTTGAATGGGCGTGTTTTTAGTTTTTTTCCACTTTATTGCAGTATAGTTGACAGTTAAAAATTGTATATTTAAGTTGTACAACTTGATAATTTGATATATGTATACATTGTGAAATATTTACCACAATCAAGCTAACTAATATATCCATCACCTCAATGATATGATTTGGCTGTGTCCCCACCTGAATCTCATCTAGAATTGTAGCTTCCACAATTCTCACCTGTTATGGAAAGGACCCAGTGGGAGGTAATTGCATCATGGGGGTGAGTCTTTCCTGTGCTGTTCTCATGATAGTGAATAAGCCTCATGAGATCTGATGGTTTTAGAAAGAGGAGCTCCCCTGCATAAGCTCTCTCTTCCCTGCTGCCACATAAGATGTGACTTGCTCCTCCTTTCTTTCCACCATGATTGTGAGGCCTCCCCAGCCACATGGAACTGTGAGTTCATTAAACCTCTTTTTCTGGCCAGGCGTAGTGGCTCACACCTGTAATCCCTGCACTTTGGGAGGCCAAGTTGGGCGGGTCACCTTAGGTCAGGAGTTCGAGACCAGCCTGACCAACATGGTGAAACCCTGCCTCTACTAAAAATACAACAAATTAGCCAGGCATGGTGGCAAGCATCTGTAATCCCAGGTACTCAGGAGGCTGAGGCAGGAGAATCGCTTGAACCTGCGGGGTGGAGGTTGCAGTGAGCCAAGATTGCACCACTGCACTCCAGCTTGGGCAACAAGAGTGAAACTCCATCTTAAATAAAAACAAAAAAACAAACAAAAACCATCCTCTTTTTCTTTATAAATTACCCAGTCTTGGGTATGTCATCATTAGCAGCATGAAAATGGACTAACACACTCACATAGTTACCATTTTTTGTATGTGGTAAGAATATTTAAGATCAATCCTCATCAAATTTCAAGCATACATTAAAATATTGTTAACTATAGTCACAGCGTTGTGCATTAGATCTCCAAGACTCATTTACCTTGCATAACTTAAATTTTGAATCCCTTGACCAATATCTCCCCACACATTCTTTTCCTTATACCACGGTAACCACTATCACAGTCTCTGTTTCTATGACTTTGACATTTTTAGATTCCTCAGGCAAATGAAATCATACAGCATTTGTCTTTCTACATCCGGCTTATATCACTTAGCATGATGCCTTCCAAATTCATCCATGTTGTCACAGATTTCCTCCCTTAAGGCTGAATAATATTTTGCTGTATATGTGTATACAACATTTCCTTTATTGATTGACCCATCAACAAACATTTAGGTTGTTTCCATGTCTTGGTTGTTGCCAATAATGTTGAAATGAGCATAGGATTGCAGTTATCTCTGCAAGATACTGATTTTATTTTCTTTGACTACATACCAAGAAGTGGGATTGCTAAAAATAAAGCAGTTTATATTTAATTTTTTCAGGAGTCTCTATACTGTTTTCCATAATGATTATGCCAATTTACATCCCCACCAACAGTGTGCAAGGGATCCCTTTTCTCCACATCCTGATCAACACTTGTCATCTTTTGTAATTTTGATATAGCCACTGTAACAGGTGTGAGGTAATGTATCATTGTGGTTTTGATTTTCATTTTCCTACTGATAGTTATTTTGAGCAAATTTCCATATATTACATTTTTAGCCATTTATAAGTCTTCCTTAGATAAATGCCTATTCAGATCCTTTCCCTATTTTTAAGTTGTGTTATTTGGTTGTTTTGCTATTGAGTTTCTGACTTCCATAAATACTTAAGATATTATCCCCTTATCAGCTATATGGTTTGCCAACATTTTCTTCCATTCTATAGGGTGATTTTCACTCTGCTGTTTTCCTTGTTGTGCAGAAGCTTTTTAGTCTGATGTAATCTCATTTTTCTATTTTTACGTTTGTTACATATGCTCTTGGGGTCATATCCAAAAGATCATTATCAAAACCAATATCAATAAGCTTTTATCCTATGTTTTTTTCTAATTATTTTATTGTTTCAGAACATATGTTTAAGTCTTTAATCCATTTGAGTTGATTTTTATATAGGGTGTAAGATAAAGCTCCAATTTCTTTCTTCTATATGTGAATGTCTAGTTTCCCCAACATCATTCATTGATGAGACAATTCTTTCCTCGTGGTGTTTTCTTATCACTTTTGTTCTAGATCAGTTGACCACAGATGTGTGGATTTATTTCTGGGGTCTCTTCTGTCCCATTGACCTATGTGTCTGTTTTTATGCCAGTAACATATTGTTTTGAGCACTGTAGCTTTGTAATACATTTTGAAACCGGGGAATATGATGTCTCCAGATTTGTTCTTCTTGTTCAATATTGCTTTGGCTATTCAAAGTCTTTTACACATACATTTAAACATTGTTTTCTCTATAACTTAGGATGTCTTTCTGTTTAGCTATGTCTTTTTAAATTTACCTCATCAATATTGCATAATTTTCAGCATACAAGTCTTTCCCCTCTTAGGTTGAGTTTTTCATAAGTATTTTATTATTTTTGTTGCTATTGTAAATGAGATTTTCTTGATTTCCTTTTTAGATAGTTTGTTGTTTATAGAAGGTAATGTATTTTTGTATGTTGATTTGGTATTTTGTAATTTTATTGAATGCGTTTAGTATTTCTAACAGATTTTTGTTGTGAATTTATAATTTTCTATGTGTATCATCATTTCATCTGCAAAGAGAGATAATTTTACTTCAGTTTTTTTCCAGATTTGGATGCTTTTTTTTTTCTTGTCCAATTACCCTGGCTAGGACTTCTAGTGCTATGTTGAAAGAAAATGGCAAAGTGGGCACCTTTATCTTGTGTTAGACCTTAGAGGGATAGGTTTCAGTGGTTCTTCACTGATTATTATGTTAGCTGTGGGGTTTTCATATATGGCCTTAATTGTGGCTAGGTAAGTTCTTTATGTACCAATTTTGTTGAGAGTTTTAATCATGAATGGATAGTGAATTTTGTCAAATACTTCCTGTGTCTCTTGAGATGATCATGAGTTTTCTCTTTTATTTTGTAATGTGTTGTATCACATTGATTGATTTACATGTGTTGAAACATTCTTGCATCCCAGGGATAAATCCCATTTTGTCATGGTATATGAACCTTTTAATGTACTGTTAAAATAAGTTTTCTAGTATTTCAGTGAGAATTCTTACATCTATGTTCATCATGAATATTGACCTTAAACCAGGAGATAGAGATGAAGACCAAATATATATTTTACAATATCACAGTTTCTATCTCTGTTGAACTTCTCATTTTGTTCATGTATTGTTTTTCTGATTTTTGGTTTAGTTGTCTATCCGTTTCTCTTATATTTCACCAAGCTTTAAAATAATGATAATTTTGAATTCTTTTTCAAGCTAATCTAAAATGTCAATTTCTTTGGGTTGGTTACTTGAAAATCACTGTGTTCCTTTGGTGGTGTCATGTTTTCTTGATTGTGTGTATGTGTATTTGTAGGCTTGTGTTGATGATTGTGGATTTGTGGGAGCAGCTGGCCCTTCCAACCTTTGTGAATTATTTTGGTGGAGAAAGTCCTTTACCTATGGGCAGGGGCAAGGGTGTCACCTGGGTAGGGTGCAGCTGGTCCAGCTCTGGTGAGAGTCAGTGATACAGTCTATATGTAGCTTTGTCAGTTGAGGCCAGCATTGGTGACGACTTCAGAGATTTTCAGTGGCCAAGGCAGCAGGAGTCTGCCTGCTGTGGTGAGGGTATTCATTCTATTCCTAGAGCACAATGGTTTTGGGTCCAACTAAAAGTCTTAGTGTTTACCAAGGTCCTTTTTTCTTTTCTATTCTAAAAGTTCACAATTTTCTACTCCAACTCTATGTATCTACCAAAAAACTTTGTTCAGTTTCTTAGCTTTCAGTTATCACTGTTGGAATTTGCAATTACTTTGAATGAAAAGTAGTTCCAAAAGTCATAGCCATATTTCTCTCTCTAGAGTTTTCTTTGTCCTATATTGTGAACCTACAAATATTTTCTTCTTTAGAAACTCCATAATAAATTTTTTGTTCTTCCCTATGGGTCTAACTTGGTTCTTAAATTGATTTCTAGCATGATTTTTTTTTATCTCCCTTAATAATAACCTCTGCAACTTTTTTTTGCTGGATTTTTGCAGTTATTAAGCACTTTATGTTCCTTTTAGTCTGAGTATGTCTCTATTTCATCCTTATTCTTGAAGGATTGTTTTCTTTGGTCTTCTGCATTTTATGAATATGTGTGTACGTAAGGGTTTCTTCTGTTTGTTCGGTTTCCCATTGATTGTAACTCTTGAATATATGGACTCATATATTTTATCCATTTTGTTGAAATTCTCAAAAAATGTCTATTTGAACATTACTTTTTCTCCATTTTCTCTAGTCTTTCCTTATTGAAATCCAATTAGATGTATGTTAAACCATCTTACTTTATCTTTTGTTTCTTATCTCTTTTTCATAATTTCCTTCTTTTAGTTTCTACACTATTATTATCCTTGATTGCCTCCCTCTTCTGGAGCTCTCTCTTTAGCTGTGCTAATCAAAGTCAGTAGAATATCCCAGTGAAGAGTGGCCTATGTACGCAGATCACTGAGGTTTTCATTTTCATTCCATTATCTAGTACAAGCTTGTCAAACCTGCAGCCTGTAGGTGGCATGTGGATAGCTATGAATGCAGCCTAACACAAATTCATAAACTTTCTTAAGATAGCACGAGATTTTTTTTTGCATTTTTTTAGCTCATCAGGTATTGTTAGTGTTAGTCTATTTCATATGTGGCCCAAGACAATTCTTCTTTTTCCAACGTGGTCCAGGGAAGCCAAAACATTGGACATCCCCAACCTAGTACTTTTATAATTTAGGCAAGTTTCTTAATCTCTTGTCCCATTTTCTTTATATGTCAAATGACAATAATAATACATACATGCATACTTCATGGGTTGATATAAGCATTAATTTTTAAAATCAATGTAAAGTTCTTAGAAGTGTGTCTGGCACATAGTCAATCTTCCTTAAGTGTTAGCTATTGTAATGGTAGACTAATTTGCTACTTACCATCTCCATTTACTTTTAAATTGCAAAGATTACACTTTGTTTTTAAAATTTCTATGACTTTAAAAATACATCTTCATCATTTTTATAGCTGCTTTTTTTCTGATGACTTTGATTCTTCTTTTTTTAGCCATATTAAACATATTTTTATTTTCGATCCAGAAATTCTAATTTAATAAGGCCCCATCATAAAAATATGAGTAGTGTTAAAAAATTCTATAATGAAAAGTGTGAGTTTGTGCTACTACAAAACAAACAGAATGATTGGATTGAATCATTGTAACTAGCTCACAATGTTTGTCTTGGGATCCAATCACCAATATCTTTAAGTAGGAAATTACACTATTTTGGAAACATTTGGAGGGATTTTACTATACTGAAATCTTTATGAGTCTGATTTTATTGTTTTTTTTTCCTGTAAATGTTTGTTTATAATGTGGTTTACTTGTGCGCTTGTATTTTTTCTTCAGAGGCAATTTTCATTCATGTTTTTTTCCTCCCCTGTGGGTCTTAGAAAAAGGGTACATTCTCTCAGAGAGGATTTGTATTTACTTTGGTCAATATCTAAATGTCCTACCTTGTGATAATTCTAAATTAAGTTTTGGCTTAAATTTTTTCAGATCCTAAATCAGATAAGTATCAGTTTATAATTATGAATTTTTAGAATATATATTTTAGTTCTCCGTCGAGACTGGAAATGGTCCCCCAAAGATATTCACATCCTAACCACTGTAACATAAATGCAACCTTGCTGGGGAAAGGAATTTGCAAATGTGATTAAGGATTTTGAGTTGAGGAGATTCTCATGGATTATGGAGCTAGCCCTAAATGAAATATACATATCCTTTTAAAATGAAAATAGAGGGAGATATAAAATAGACAGTAGAGAAGAAGGCAATGTGACCACAGAGGCAGAGATTGAAGTGATGCAGCCACAAGCCATGGAACACTAGAAGCCAACAGAAGCTGAAGGAAGCAAGGAATGGATTCTCTCTTAAGGCCTCTGAAGGTAACGCAGTCCTGTTGACCCCTTGATTTTTGGCACAGTGATACTAATTTCAGATTTTTAGCATCCATAATATGAGCAAATAATTTCTGTTGTTTTAAACTGCCTAGTGTGTGGTAATTTTTACGGCCGCCATAAGAAACTGAGATACCCTGTTTTCAAAGCCAAAGCTAAGGTAAATTATTGTGCCATTTTTCTTGATAGAATAATAAGAAATAATACATATTTGTTGATTACATTCACATTCATCACTCCATTTGTAAAACACAGTCCTTCCAATTAAGAGAGGATGGCAAAGCTTCTGAACCTTCATTTAAAATTTCCTTCCATGGGACATTCCAGCAACTTGGCTGATTTATCTCACAACTGCTCCTTAGTTGTTCAGAAGAGTTACAGATTCCTAAAAATATGTCTCCAAAATGCCATTTTATGATGGGACCATCTTAATGTTGATCTTTAAATAGATCACAATACCCTATTGCAATAAATCGCTAGGCTTTAAAAGCTGGTTGAAAATTTGTATTATTTGTATATCTAGACATTGCTTTTTTCCTGTAAAATTTTAGCTCCAAGCAACATCCAATTATTTGACTAGAGAAAAGTTTCAACAGCTATGCCAGTAGTAGGCTCTGCTGCCTTTGATTTGAAAAGGATCTTCTCAGAACCATTGAAAAAGAAAAGTTTATTTCTACTTCATATATTAGTCTTCTAAAGGCCTTTGATCTCTTTAAAGGTGCTCATGGTCTAAATAACCACCACATTCTTCTAGAAATAAGTAAAATCTGGATTTAAAATAATTGACACCTAAGGGAAATCTTATTAAATGTAGTCATCTTTATACACCATATAAAAGGTTTCTTTAGATCAAATATTAAAGGTGAATAAATCCTTTATTCTTCTTTAAAATTAGTTCTTTAAATATGAGTAAGGATATCTATTCACTATTAAATTGGAAAGCACCATAAAAACAAAGATAACTTAAGGGGAAGCAGTCTGTCAAACTTAGCCACATTTAAATTATACTCACCCCGAACTTAATTCAAAGTAGAAAAAAAAAAACAGATGGTGCATACAAAGCAGCAACATATGATGACAAATTTAACTAACAAGTATTTGCATCTTTTAACATAGCACCGTTTTTCACTTAAGCATAGATAGAAGAGTGAGTTCTTTGTAAACCAGTAATTCTTATTTTGAGTTTAGGAATTCCTATGAGAGTTTATTTTATAGGGAATTTCTCACTACTTAAAAAAATCATTTTCTCACAATTGCATTTACTTTCATCATACTTTCATATCTTATTATACCGTAAGTTTGAGAAGGAAACGGATCTTGAATATAAGGAATTTTACTCCTGGGATCTCATTTCAGTTACTAAAAGCCATCTGGTTAAAGAATTACTATGTTTCATGGTTTAGAAGTGCAATAGATTATGCTTTGGAGTGACACCTAAGGGAAACATACGTTCTTTGAGGAGTCAGAATTAAAATAGCAAACACATAATAATGAAGTTGAAAAAGTGGACCTATGAAAGAAATGTGGAGAAAATCATTTCTGTGGCTCTTGAAAGGAGGAGCAGTACACATTTAGATTTAGCATTGTGACTGCTGAGTATAGAGAAGATTTTTTTCCTTACTATGAACATATAATAACTTTGTATTTATTTTGTTGATCTTCAATAAAATATTTTTATTTTCTGATTTACACTGCATGTGTTCTATAATTGTGAATGGTCAATATAAAGACAGATAAGATATTATTTTGTGGGCTTGGCATTCCTCCAAAACATGGCCATGAATTTCGTGTTATATATACATATGTATATGTGTGTGTGTGTGTGTGTGTGTGTGTGTCTTTGCTTTGCATGACAGACCACACAGATTCCATGTTATTCTTTACTCAGTGAGCATGGCGTTGCTGTGCATCAAGCCAAGCCACGTAACCCATTTTTTCCCCAGAAATCTGATCCTTCAGAGTCTGCGTGCTAACGATTGCAGCTTCTTGAATGACACCAAATGAAGGTGTGATGGACTTGACTTATAATAAAGAGAATTATTTCAACTAACAGTGCCTAAAAATACAACTCAGCCTTTTAGGCTAAACTTCTTTGACCATGTTGGTTTTAGACAAGTTTTTAAATAAAAGAAAAATTTTTATTAGTATCTTTCTAAGAGTGAGGACACAGGTTTTAGTATCCATAGTGATTGACTGAAAGAAAAAAGGACCCTTGAATAAAGGTTAAAAAGTCAGTGGATTTTTTTTTTTTTGAGTGGGGTGAGATTGAGGTGAAATGAACTCAGTGGTACACTTCAAGAATATGGAATACACATCATTATGTGTAATTGCCTAGTTGTTTCTTATTTCAAATGAATTACCTGAAATAAAAGAAAGAATTTAGAAGATTTGAATACATTTCTGAAAGTCACATTGAAGAAGTGATAGACTAGATTTTTAAAAGCTTATTCTCAAAAATTTAATAGCATGAGGAAGAACCTGACTTTTTGACATCCGTATGTATCTTATTGTCTCAGGACTTCTTCAGTATTATCTGCAAAATGAAATGGTATGGTTTAATTGCAAATGGCTGCTTGCCTTTGTCTGAAAGCTTACATTTCTTTGGAAACTAAACATTTAAAATAAAGATTATTTGCTGTAACTTAAACCGTGTTTTGATCACTGGAATTTGCAGCAGTTGTTTCAGGGTATCATGGGATTCTTTTTGTTGTTTCCAAATTTTCTCCTTAAATTATACACATTTCCTGACCCTTTGCCAAACCCCTGGTAGTGAAACATTATTTAGGAGATCAAACACAGATCATACGAAAGAAACATCTTTTGTAGTTATTGTTTTTCAGAAGTTCAGGTTGCCCAAGAGGTCCACTAGGCAGTATTTTCCAGTTCTCATTTATGTACAACTGGGGGATCTTGGTGGCAGCAAAGGATAAAAGGCCTTTAATTTAACATTTGAGATGTGTGTGTCCTGAAGTTATTTGCACTGAAAATGTCTTGTAAGACAAAAGACATTCCATGGTGATTGTTTTAGGTTTTTTCTGCTCTGCAAAGCCATCTAGTGCTACAAAACTCATCATTGAAAGTGGACAAAAAAAGCCAAAGAAGGAGGGATGGGAAGCAGCTCTTGCTTCAATTGTTTCTTGTTTTTCTAGTCCCATCCCCATGTATTGCTTAATCTCCATCATTTTTCCAGCCTGATCCTCAAAGCAGATCCCATTTTTAGGGAGGAGATGGTTCTTTCCAGGACTACATTCCTCTCCACTCTGATTTCCTTTACACCCTGCCTCCTAGTCAGCTGTTGGGTCTGCAATTCCCTTTCAAAATAGATCAAAAAGAGAAAGGCAATTTGTATTTTAATGACAAGGCTTGGTTATGTGTTGGGCACAAAGGGTTTATAACACTGGGAGCTAATTACTCCGGTTGAAAGGTGCTTCATCTGTTCAGATTACAGCTTCCAACAGGGAGATGTTTTCGGTAAAACTGGTGATGGCAAAACCATCTGAGAGGTTATGCAAGGAAATTTCATTGAAGAAACATTTTCCATGTTTTTCAATTACAAAATTCAAAATTAATTCAAATTTTATTACTTCCATTAAAACAATCCAACTGAAATATCTAAAATGTTGTATAAAATTTCCTGTAAGGGATGCAACAAAGAATTGTCAAAAAAAAAAAAAAATCCTGGATGTGATGCCAGGGGATGGGGGCAGGATAGGTGGCTCAATAAACCATAGCTCTGTAATTCAGTAGTTCTCTGCCTCTGGACATATCCTTTACGTTTTATTCTAGCTTGTACCATATGTGATGCTATAGCATCTAGGAAAAATCAGAATTACCCTGCTCCCCCATACAATTCCCATGGTCTTTTATGCTGGATTTATTCTATCAGAAAGATGAGATAATCAGATCTAAGTATTAAAAAATGATTTTCTTACTTTTACTTTAGAAGATGTTCAACTCAGTATTAACATTAAAGAATAATTGAGCTGATTAACTGTTTCTCATAGAATTATCATCATCATCATCATACTGCCAATGACAACCACTTTCAAAATATTATACTACCTCAAGTTAAGAGCCATCTTTGAAAAAACCCACAGGCAGCATCATGCTGAATTGGCAAAAACTGTAAGCACTCCCCTTAAGAACAAGAGCAAGAAAAAGATGCCTACTCTCGCTACTCATATCCAACATAGTACTGGAAGTACTAGCCAGAGCACTCAGACAAGAAAAAGAAATAAAAAGTATCCAGATAGAAATAGAAGAAGTCAAACTATTTTTCTTTGCAGATGATATATTTCTATATCTACAAAAGCCTAAAGATGTCACCAAAAGGCTCCTGAAACTGATAAACAACTTCAGTAGGTCCTGGTTACAAAATCAATGTATAAAAATTAGTAGCATTTCTACACATCAATAACATTCGAAGTGAGAGGCAAATCAAGAACACAATTCCATTTATAATAGACACACACACACACACACACACACACACAAAACACCTAGCAATACATCCTACCAAGGAGGTGAAAGATCTCTACAAGGAAAACTACAAAACACTGCAGAAAGAAATCATAGATAACACAAGTAAATGGAAAAACACTCCATGCTCGTGGATTGGAAGAATCACTATTGTTAAAGTGTCGATACTGCCCAAAGCAATCTACAGATTTAGCCCTATTTCTATCAAACTACCAATGTCACTTTTCACATAATTAGATAAAGCTATTCAAAATTCACATGGAACAACAACAACAAAAAGACCAAATAGCCAAAGCAATCCTAAGCAAAAAGAACAAAGCCAGAAGCATCACATTACCTGACTTCAAACTATACTTCAAGGCTACACTACCTAAAACAGCATGGTATGGGTACAAAAATAGACACATAGATCAGAATAGAATAAAGAACAGAATAGATAACCTAGAAATGAAGCTGCACACCTACAGCCATTTAATCTTTGCTAAAGTCAACAAACATAAGCAATGAGGAAAGGATTCACTCTTCAATAAATGGTGCTGGGATAGCTGGTTAGCCATATGCAGAAGCATGAAATTGGACCTCTACCTTTCACCATAAACAAATATTAACTCAAGATGGATTAAAGATTTAAATGTAAGACCTCAAACTATTAGAATCCTAGAAGAAAACATAGGAAACACCATCCTAGACATGGGCCTTAGGAAGAATTTATGACTAAGTCCTCAAAAGCAATTGCAACAAAAACAAAAACTGAAAAGTGGGACCTAATTAAACTAAAGAGTTCTGCACAGCAAAACAAGCTATTGGCAGAGTAAACAGATAACATACAGAATGGGGGAAAATATTCACAAACTGTGCATCCAACCAAGGTCTAATATTCAGGAAATTAAACCATTGAACAAGCAAAAACCGAATAACTCCATTAAAAGTTGGCAAAATACATGGATGCTTCTCAAAAGAAGCATACAAGCAGCCAGAAAACATGAAAAAATGCTTATCATTGCTAATCATTAGATAAATGAAAGTTAAAACCACAACGAGATACTATCTCACACCAATCAGAATGGCTATTTTTAAAAAGTGAAAAAAAAAACCAAGAAATTTTGGTGATGTTTCAGAGAAAGCAGAAGGCTTATCCATTTTTGATCAGAATGTAAATTAGCTCAACTACTGTGGAAAGCAGTTTGGAGATTTCTCAAAGAAACTTTAAACAGAGCTACCATTCAACCCAGCAAACCCATTACTGGGTATATACCCAAAGGAAAACAAATTATTCTAGCAAATAGACACATGAACTTGTGTTCATCGCCACACAATTCACAATAGCAAAGAGATGTAATTAATTTAAGTGCCTATCGATGGTGGAATGGATAAAGAAAATGTGGTATATACACTGTGAAATACTACATAGCCATAAAACAGAATGAAATCATGTCTTTTGCAGCAACATGGATGCATCCTGAGGCCCTAATCCTAAACAGATTAACTCAGGAACAGAAAACCAAATACCACATGTTCATACTTATAGGTAGGAGCTAAATATTAGGTACCCTGGACATAAAGATGACACCAATAGACACTGGAAACTACTAGAGCAGGGAGGAAGGGAGGTCAGGGATTGAAAAACTAACAGTTGAGTATAATATGGTTTTGCCATGTCCCCACCCAAATCTCTTCTTGAACTGTAACTCCCACAATTCCCATGTGTTGTGGGAGGAACCTGGTGAGAAGTGATTGAATCATGGGGGTGGGTCTTTCCCATGCTGTTCTTATGATAGTGAATAAGCCTCATGGAATCTGCTTTTAAAAAAGGGAGTTTCCCTGCACGAGCTCTCTCTTCTTTTGTATGATGCCACATAAGACATGCCTTTCACCCCTCACCATTGATTCTGAGGCCTCCCCAGCCACATAGAACTGTAAGTCCACTAAACCTCTTTCTTTTGTAATTTGTCCAGTCTCAGTTATATCTTTATCAGCAGTGTGAAGATGGACTAATAAAGTAAATTGGTACCAGGAGAGTGGGGTGCTGCTGTAAAAACCTGGAAATGTGGAAGCTACTTTGGAACTGGGTAACAGGCAGGGTTGGAACAGTTTGGAGGGCTCAGAAGAAGAGAGAAAATTATGGGAAAGTTTGAAACTTCCTACAGACTTGTTGAGAGGCTTTGACCAAAATTCTGATAACAATATGGACAATAAAGTCCAGGCTGAGGTGGTCTCAGATGGAAATGAGGAACTTGTTGGGAACTGAAGCAAAGGTGACTCTTGCTATGTTTTAGCAAAGAAACTGGTGGCATTTTGCCCTGCCCTAGAGATTTGTGGAACTTTGAACTTGAGAGAGATGATTTAGGATATGTAGTGGAATAAATTTCTAAGCAGCAGAGTATTCAAGAGGTGACTTGGGTGCTGTTAAAGGCATTCAGTTTTATAAGGAAAGCAGAGCATTAAAGTTTGGAAAATGTGAAGCCTGACAATGTGAAAAGAAAATCTCATTTTCTGAGAAGAAACTTAAGCCAGCTGCAGAAATTTGCATAAGTAACAAGGAGCCCAATATTAACCCCCAAGACAATGGGGGAAATTTCTCCAAGGCATGTCAGAGGTCTTCACAGCAGCCCCTCCCATCACAAGCGTAAAGGCCCAGGAGGAAAAAATGGTTTTGTGGGCTGGGCCTGGGGTCCCCATGCTGTGTGCAGCCTAGGGACTTGGTGCCCTATGTCCCGGCTGCTCCAGCCATGGCTGAAAGGGGCCAACAAAGAGCTTGGGCCATGGCTTCAAAGGGTGCAAGCCCCAAGCCTTGGCAGCTTTCAAATGGTATTGAGCTTGCAAGTGCATAGAAATCAAGAATTGAGGCTTGGGAACCTCTGTCTAGATTTCAGAGGATGTGTGGAAATGCCTGGATGCCCAAGTGGAAGTTTGCTGCAGGAGCGGGGTCCTCATGGAGAACCTCTGCTAGGGAAGTGCAGAAGGGAAATGTGGGGTTGGAGCCCCTACACAGATTTCCTTCTGGGGCATCACCTAGTGGAGCTGTGAGAAGAGGTCCATTGTCCTCCAGACCCCATAATGGTAGATCCACTGACAGCCTGCACTGTGAACCTGGAAAAGCTGTAGACCCTCAATCCCAGCCCATGAAAGCAGCTGGGAGGGAAGCTGTGCCCTGCAAAGCCACAGGGCCGGAGCTGCCCAAGACCATGGGAACTCACTTCTGGCATCAGCATGACCTGGATGTGAGACATGGAGTCTAAGGAGATTATTTAGGAGCTTTAAGATTTGACTGCCCTGCTAGATTTTGGACTTGAATGGGGCCTGTAGCCCCTTTGTTTTGGCCAATTTCTCTCATTTGGAATAGCTGTATTTACCCAATGCCTGTACCCCCATTGTATCTAGGAAGTAACTTGCTTTTGATTTTACAAGCTCATAGGCAGAAGGGACTTGCCTTGTCTTGGATTTGACTTTGGACTGTGCACTTTTGAGTTAATGCTGAAATGAGTTAAGACTTTGAGGGACTGTTGGGAAGGCATGATTGGTTTTGAAATGTGAGAACATGAGATGTGGGAGGGTCCAGGGGCAGAATGATATGGTTTGACTGTGTTCCCACCCAAATCTCATCTTGAATTGTAACTCCTACAATTCCCACATGTCATGGGAGGAACCGGATGGGAGGTGATTGAATCATGGGGGCAGATATTTTCTGTGCTGTTCTCATAATAGTGAATAAGTCTCACAAAATATGATAGTTTTAAAATGGGGAGTTTCCCTGAACAAGCTCTGTCTTCTCTTTTCTGCCACAATGTGAGATGTGCTTTTCACCTTCTGCCATGATTGTGAGGCCTCCCCAGAAATGTGGAACTGTAAGTTTATTTAACCTCTTTCTTTTGTAAATTGCCCAGTCTTGGGTATATCTTTATCAGCAGCATGAAAATGGACTACTACAGGCACTATACTCAGTACCTGGGTGATGGGATCTTCTGTACCCCAAACCTCAGCATCATGCAGTATACCTGTGTAACTCACCTGCACATGTACTCCCTGCATCTAAAATAAAACTTGAAAAAGAAACAAAAAATAAAGAAAAAAATCAGGCTCAATGGTAGATCAGATGTGCATGTCCCATTGTCCTTAGGAATTCTGGAGTGGAATAAACCTATGAACAGGCAAGGACTTCCATGGTGTTAAATAAATGATTTCCCAATTTACTAAACAAACAAACAAAAAGCAAACTATTACACAACCTTAAGGGATAGAAAAATATTGTACTAACCCAAGGATCTATAAAAGAGTAGTAACTAATGTTACATAAAATAACAGGATGATATTAATATTATGAGACATATAGTATGTAATTTTAAAATTCTTATTTGAAAATAATTTTAGGTTTACAGAGAAGTTAAAAAATTAATTCAGAATGTTTTTATATATTTCACCCAGCCTTCCAATATCTCGCATAACCTAAGTGTGATCATTGAAACTAGGAAATTAACCATCAGAGTGAACAGGCAACCTACAGAATGGGAGAAAATTTTTGCAGTCTACTCATCTGACAAAGGGCTAATATCCAGAATCTACAATGAACTCAAACAAATTTACAAGAAAAAAACAAACAACCCCATCAAAAAGTGGGCGAAGGATATGAACAGACACTTCTCAAAAGAAGACATTTATGCAGCCAACAGACACATGAAAAAATGCTCATCATCACTGGCCATCAGAGAAATGCAAATCAAAACCACAATGAGATACCATCTCACACCAGTTAGAATGGCCATCATTAAAAAGTCAGGAAACAACAGGTGCTGGAGAGGATGTGGAGAAATAGGAACACTTTTACACTGTTGGTGGGACTGTAAACCAGTTCAACCATTGTGGAAGTCAGTGTGGCGATTCCTCGAGGTCCTAGAACTAGAAATACCATTTGACCCAGCCATCTCATTACTGGGTATATACCCAAAGGATTACAAAACATGCTGCTATAAAGACACATGCACACGTATGTTTATTGCAGCACTATTCACAATAGCAAAGACTTGGAACCCACCCAAATGCCCAACAATGATAGACTGGATTAAGAAAACGTGGCACATATACACCATGGAATACTATGCAGCCATAAAAAATGATGAGTTCATGTCCTTTGTAGGGACATGGATGAAGCTGGAAACCATCATTCTCAGCAAACTATCGCAAGGACAAGAAACCAAACACCGCATGTTCTTACTCATAGGTGGTAATTGAACAATGAGAACACATGGACACAGGAAGGGGAACATCACACACCAGGGCCTGTTGTGGGGTGGGGGGAAGGGGGAGGGATAGCATTAGGAGATATACCTAATGTTAAATGAAGAGTTAATGGGTGCAGCACACCAACATGGCACATGTATACATATGTAACAAGCCTGCACGTTGTGCACATGTACCCTAAAACTTAAAGTATAATAAAAAAATAAAAAAAAGAAATAACTTCAGTACAATACTCTTAATTAAACAGTGAACTTTATTTGTATTTCACCAGTTTGCTACTAATACACTTTTTCTATTTCAGGACCCAATCCAGGATACTACATTGCATTTAGTTTCAGGTCTTCCTAGTCTTTTCCAATCTGTCCTAGTTCTTTAGTCTTTCATTGTCTTTCATGATCACGATGATTTTGAATAGTGCTGGTTAGTTATTTTACAAAATGTCTTATAGTTTAGTTTCGTCTGATCTTTTCTCGTGATTTGATTAAAGGTATGCATTTTTGGCAAGAATGTCACAGAAATAATGTGTCTTTCTCAGTGTATAATGTCAAGTAGTACATGATGTTAATACATCTTATGTCTCATTTAACCTCGATCACCTGGTTAAAGTAGCCTGCTGTGCTTCTCAACTGTAAAGTTAGTATTTTCCGCCTATGAGTTACTAAATATCAGGTGGAAGATCATTCGAGAGTGAAAAATATTTTCCTCTTCTCTAACTTTTGCCCATTAAGCATTCATCTATAGATATTGTTTGAAACAGTTATTACTGTGGTTTTTAAATGTGATTTTTCATTTCTCTCATTTTTTCTACATTTATTAATTGGAAAGATTCTACAAGGAATAGCTACCATTTCTCCCTCATTTACTCATTTGTGCAAATGTTTATTTATATCAGTATGGAATGATGGGTATTCATTTTATTATATAGGCTATAATCAAATACTATCTTTATTAATTTTGTTTCTCAAAATTTTCAAGCTTTGATCAGCAGGAGCTCTTTGTCTTCCTGTTTTTGTTATTAGAGTATTATTGACCTCATAAGTGGAGTTGGGATGCATTTCTTCTTCTTCAGCGTTCCAGCAGAGTTGGCATAGAATTGGTAGTATTTCTTCCTCAAATGTTTGGTACAAATCACCTATGATGGCATTTGGGACTAGGGTTTTCTTTGGTAAAGTATTTTTAAGTATTAATTTAAATTGTTTTATAGATATAATCAGTTTTGTTTTTATTGCTTTCCTCTGTTTTTCTCCTGAGTAGCTGGGACTACAGGCGCCCGCCACAGCGCCCGGCTAATTTTTTTTTTTTTTTTTTTTTTTAGTAGAGACAGGTTTCGCTGTGTTCACCAGGATGGTCTCAATTTCCTGACCTCATGATCTGCCCGCCTCGGCCTCCCAAAGTATGTTTTTCTGTTTTTTATTTTATTGATGTCTTTTGTTAATGTTATTTCATTTCTTCTGCTTGCATTGGGTTTAATTTTGTTTTTCTATTCTAGTTTCAGAAGCCGAAAGCTAAGATGACTAATTTTTTACTTTTCTTATTTTTCAAAATAGCATTTATTGCTGTACATTTTCCTATAAAAATGATTTAGCTATATCTCACATGTTTTGGTAGGTTGGATTGTCATTTCATTCAGTGCAGAATGTATTTTAATTTTCCTTGAGGCTTTCTTTTTGACTTATGAGATTATTTTTTGATAGATATTGTTTAATTTCCAAATATTGGAGATTTTCCAGATATCTGTTGATTCATACTTTAATTCCTTTATCAAATTATAACATACTTTGTATTATGTCTAGTCTTTTAAAAATTTAAGGTTTTGTTTATGGCCTAGAATATAGCCACATTTGTGAATGTTTCATGCATACTTGAAAAAAATGAGTATTGTGTTATTTATTGCCAATAAGGTCAAGTTCATTGTAACTGTTTGTTAGGTCTTTCATAACCTTACTGATTTACTTGTTCTATCATTCCCAGGAGACAGGTGTTGAAATCTATAAATATAATTGTGGATTTGCCCACCTCCTTTTTTAGTTATATTAGCTTTTGATTAATATATTATAAAGCTCTGGTATTAGGTAAATGTAACATTTAACAAGATATTAATTCAATATAGGCTGGCACACATGGGTTTCTCCAAAGATGGTTAGATATAATAAATATTTTTAAAGTTTTACTATATAATTATTTGATCATATTCTGAAAAGTTGCAGGTCTGTATCTTGCACCTCACCTTAAATCAGAGAAAAGTTTATGGACAAAACAGAAATTAAAAGTCCTTCAAAGGAAATCCCTTTTAATATTGCCACTTAAGGCATTTATTATCTAACAGATGATGTCAATTTTCAGTAATACTCAAGAAGTTTGTCATTTAATATTTGGTTTTAAAAATCATATATTTCTTTTATTTTTAAGTGTGTTTCCCTATTAACATTGATTTTCTTTATAGTTGGTACCTGAGGAGCATGCTAGGCAGAATTTTAGGATGGCCTTTAACATTCCCACCTTCTAGTGTACATACCCTATATAATCCCTAACCTATGATTGTGGGCAGGACATATGAGAACGATAGAAGAGCATTTCCATGATTAGTTCACACTACATGGTGAAGAGAAAGGGACTTTTCATATGTAAGGAAGTAATTAAGGCCTCTAATCAGTTGACTTTAAGTTAATACAAGACAGATTATTCAGGTGGGCCTGACTTAATAAGGTGAGCCCTTCAAAAGAGGATCTAGAGGTTAGAAAAAGAATGATTCAGAGACATTAAAGCAGTAGATATGTTATCCTGCTGGCTTTGAAAAGGAACTTTAAATATTTGAACTTCCATGTATTCCATGGTGTTATACAGAGAAGGAATCTAAAGCCTTAGGGAGAACAAAAATTGGATTGGATTTAGCATGAACAATTCCCTAACTATATTTTCTGAAAGGGCTCAGAATATGTTTATTTTACCAAGACACTGAGAGAGTTTTGCAGGTTAGGGAAGCATCAGCATCTTGTGAAATAGTTTAGTGGTTGTAATTGTAAAATAGTTTAGTGGCCAGTAAGTGTTGCTGCAGTTGAAAAGTTTCCTATATTTCAATTTTTATATTAAGCCCCTAAATGCCAGATTCAAGTAGTAGCACCTGCCCCAAAATGGTAAATTGAAGATGCTTTTCACAATGTTCAAGAGCATGATAATCAGAAAGCCTGACTAGCAGGCATATTTAGTAGTGGAAAATTGAGCATGGAGACCCTAGAACTCCTTTTTACATAATCAAAAAATTCTAGATTTGGAGATGAACTAATATGACGGTCATTGCCACTTCCTTACTACCCAGGTCTGAGTGAGTTTACAGTTCCTAAGCTAGGTCAGACAGCAGAAGTTGGTTTTAGTTCAAGAGTTGGCAAGAATGACAACAAATTTGGCTATGGTTGCTTAAAAAAATTAATAATGCAATCCCAGCACTTTGGGAGGCTGAGTGGATCACGAGATCAGGAGTTCAAGACCAGCCTGGCCAAGATGATGAAAACCCATCTCTACTAAAAATACAAAAAATTAGCCAGGCGTGGTGGCAGGCACCTGTAATCCCAGCTACTTGGGAGGCTGAGGCAGGAGAATCACTTGAACAAGGGGGGCAGAAGTTGCGGTGAGCCGAGATCACACCACTGTACTCCAGCCTGGGTGACAGAGTGAGACTCCGTCTCAAAAAAAAAAAAAAATTATTAATTGTATGTTCTATTTAACCCCATATTTAAATATTATTATTTTAACATTTCA
The DNA here is from genome assembly GCF_000001405.40 of Homo sapiens. NCBI lineage: Eukaryota > Metazoa > Chordata > Mammalia > Primates > Hominidae > Homo > Homo sapiens. The sequence goes on from NC_000006.12 coordinate 91,427,637, forward strand.
TGAGGCAGAATGGAGAGCTAATATTGTACTTCTACTGAAAGATAATGAGGCAATGTAAGTTATTGCCCCACTTCTCCCAGGATAGAGTTAGTGGGACCCCCTGGGAAGCTGAGCATAGACATCTGCCTGGTCCTCTTGCTACACATCAAAAGTGGAATGCCAGCTTAAATAAAAAGACCAAATAGTATATGGAATATCATAATTGAATATCCAAAATATCCTTTATGCAACAAAAAATGCATTCATTATACCAAGAATTAGCTTAATTGCTACATGAATGAGAAAGGACAATGAACAGATGCCAACACCAGGATGACATAGCTATTAGAATTACTTGACAACGATTTTAAAACAGCCATAATAAAAATGCTTCACAAGCAATTAAGTATTGTCTTGAAACAAATAAAAAACAGAAAACTTCAGCAGAGACGTAGAATTTATTTTAAAGTGGAAATTGTACAGCTGAAAATATAAGAACTCAAATTAAAAACATACTGAATGGGTTTGCTAGGGTGTAAAGATTACAGAGAGTAGAATCCAGTAACTTGAAGACAGCACAATAGCGTTTACACCATCTGAGCCTAGAGAAAATGAACTAAGGAAAAATGAATAGTGTTTTAGGGACGTGTGAGGAAATAATGAAATGTTAACATCCTTATCATTGGAATTCCAGAAAGAGAGGAGTAAGACTATGGGATTGAAAACTATTTGATGAAATAAAGGCTTAAAACTTCTGAAATTTGGCAAAATACATAAGCCCATACATTTAAGAAGCTGAGTGACTACTCATTTAAAATAAACTCAAAGAATTCACACCAAGACACATCATAGTTAAACTTCTCAAAACCAAGACAAAAAAAGTCCTGAAATCAGTCCAAGAGGAATGATGTATTGTCTACAGAGGGGTACCAATTAAAATAACAACGTTTATTTCATTTGAAACTTTGGAGGCCAGGAGACGGTGACAACATTTTTCAAGTACTAAAAGAAAAGAACCGTCAACCACAAATTCTACATACTGTGAGGCATCCATCAGAAATGAAGAATAAATCAACACATTTTCAAATGAAGGAAAGGTTAGAAAATGTATTGCTAGAAAACCTACCCTTAAATAATTGCCAAATAAAGTTCTCTAAAAAGAAAGAAAATTATAACAGAAGGAGGCTTGGAACTTCCAAAAGGAAAGAAGAACATTGGAATGGGTAAAAATAGAGGTAAAAGCAATAGACATCCTAATTTATGTGTGCCCTAAATTATATTTGATGGATTATATAAAAAACTTTAACTCTAGTGACTGTGATGCTCTCAATATATGTAGAGGAAATACTTAAGACAATTATATTTATAAAGAGGGGATGTTAAAGGGAGCTAAATGGACATCATGTTTATGGAGCAAAATATACTTCACTGAATTTGGTAAAATATCAGTAACAGTAGACTATCATGTTCTGTATATATATTGTAATACCTAAAACAACCACTAAGAAATTTAAAACTCAATAATAATGTAAGTAAATCAAATGAAATCCTTAAAAAATGTTAAAATAATCATGGAAAAGTAAGAAAAGAGAAGAAAGGAATGATAAACAGTGGCAATAAATAGAAAACAAATAATATTTCAGACTTAAGCCCTAACACATCAATGATTACCTTAAATTGTCTAAATATCTAACTTGAAAGAGGTTGGCAGAACTTAAAAAAAAAGTCCCACTATGTGTTGTTAACAGGACACTCATTTAAAGAATAGTAACAATGGTTGCTGGAAAGTAAAAAAAGACAGAAAATCTTTGGAATCTATATTCCATGGACAAGGGCTATTTAGATGACATCAAACACATGATGCATTAAATAAAAATTGATAAATTGAGCATCATCAAATTTTAAAACATTTGCTCTGTAAAATACTCTTAAAAGGATAGAAAGATAGCTACAAGCCAGAAGAAAATATTCACCCAGAACACATTAGACAAAGGACTGGTATCTAGAAGAGATAAACTCAATAGTAAAGAAACAATAAGATTAGATAATGAGCAAATGGTGTAAATAGACATTTCATCAAAAAAATGCAGTTGGGAAATAACACATGAAAAAACTTTCATCATCATTAATTATTAGGGAAAGCAAATTAAAAACATAATGCAATGTCACTATACACCATTAGAATAGTTTAAAAATTGCTGATGAGGATACAGAAAAACAGGATAACTCATACATTGCTGGTGAAAATATGAAATAATACAGTCAGTCTGGAAAATAGTTTGGCAATTTCTTATAAAAATCAATATGTGATTGTCATCTTGCCTAGCAACTTCACTTTTAGAAACTTATCCCAGAGAAGGGAAATGTGTTCTCACAGAAAACTTGTACGTGGCTAGAAACTTTGTTAGTAATAGCCAAAAATTGAAACAATCTAGATGTCCTTTAATGGTTGAATAGATAAACAGTTAAACCAACTGATGTACATCCATATCATGGAATACTGCTCTTCAATAATAAAGGAAGAAACACTGATAGGTGTGGAACAACCTGAATGAATTTCCAGAGAATTATGCTGAGTAGAAAAAAGCCAATCCAAAAGGGTTCCACGCTGTATCATTCTATCTATATGACATCTTGAAATGATGCTATTATAGCAATGGCAGATTAATGGTTGATGGGCACCAGGCACAGGAAAGGTACAGGGTGGTGGCTGTGGCTACAAAAGAAATGGGGGTTCCTTTTGGTTATGGAAATATTCTGTATGTTGACTGAGTTAATGTCAATATCGTGGTTTTGATACTTTACTATAGTTTTGCAAGATGTTACCATTTAGGAAAACTGGGTGCAGGGTGCCTGGAATCTCCCCACATCATTTCTTAACAACTGTGTGTCACTGGACAATTATCTTAAAATAGAAAGTTTAATTTTAAAAATAATAAAGCATTGGAAATCATCTGAACACAGAAATATGCTACTAATTACCATGTAACTCCATTCCAATAACCTTTAAACAACTAAAGAAATCCAGATTTAGTGAGAAAAAATCCCAGGGAAACAATCTTCTTGGTACATCCAGTGCTTTAAGGGAATCCAGCATTTTACTTCCAAAATCTAGAATGGTTTAACTTTCAGCTCTTGAGGCTGTTGAAGTGTGTGTGTTAATGCATTTTACACTCTGTAGCTTATAACATTGCAGTTATTTTCCCTCTTCCCACCAAAGCAGTTCCTCAAGTGTTTGTTGTCAGCCTCTTTCAGTGTACACATTCTTATTAGATGGCCAGTCAGGTGTGGAGATGGCCGAGAAACATCACAAGGATCTTGTTTATGACTGCATGCAATCCATAACACTATCAGGGGATTTTCCCGAACATGATCAGGATGACCAACACAAATTTCCTCCTCATCTCAAACGTGTCTCGTCTCCTGGGGTGAAATTTGCTAAAGGGTTATTACTTCCCTCTGTAGCAAGCTTATAATTAGAGTACTCATATCTTTACCCTCTCTTTGCCACTCATTCTGTATTTGCCAAATCCTCTGTAGTTATCTCTTCCTACTTTGCTATTCTATAGCCTCAGACCAGTGCTTAAGCACTAGACTATGTCATTTAATGCGTATTTCTCTGGGGTGGAGTCTCTGAGTCTTCCCTCCAACTCCAAATATTTTCATGGACTAGATCATAGAAGGAATATTTGACTCTCCTCTTAAGGAGACTATCTCCCTGTGTATTCTAAATGAGCTCCTTCTGATAATCTAGAGAGATCAGCCTTCTCCCCTTGTACTATACCACCTTTGACCTAAAGGAGTTGAATGATGAAAGGACTTGTTTAAACCATCTTGGAGGAAATATGACTGAAATTTATTTCTTCCAGAAATTATTTGTCTTCTCTGTATTTTAGTATGCAGACTCCTGTATGTATTTTCCTATATCCAGAGAATTCTAAAAGTGATTGTGCCTCCTTTTTATAGGTGAGGTGACCCATCTAAGACCAGACATTCTTTTTGAGCTTTAATTGAGTAACTTCATTCTGTTTAGTGAATCACCATAATCTTAACAGTGGTTGGTGGCTCTTAGAATTTGTTGTATGTGGTTCTAATCTATCTGTAGTTTTTGTTGTTGTTGTTGTTGTTGTTGTTGTTGTTTTTGAGACATAGTCTCGCTCTGTCGCCCAGGCTGGAGTGCAATGGTGCAATCTCGGCTCACTGCAAGCTCTGCCTCCCACGTTCACACCATTCTCCTGCCTCAGACTCCCAAGTAGCTGGGACTACAGGCGCCCGCCACCATGCCTGGCTATTTTTTGTATTTGTAGTAGAGACGGGATTTCACCGCATTAACCAGGATGGTCTCGATCTCCTGACCTCGTGATCTGCCCGCCTCAGCCTCCCAAAGTGCTGGGATTACAGGCGTGAGCCACCGTGCCGGGCCTCTGTAGTTTTTTAATGACTCTGTCACTCCAATCATTAGAAGTCATTGCTGCTGTGATAGGCCTGCTTGTCAGATGTTAGATTTATTTCCACTAAATCTTAGTGAGTGACTTCATGAAAGTAAGCAGATATGTACTTTTCTGCAATATTACAAAGGTGTGCTATACAACCTTCTCAGTGAACGTAAACTGACCAGTAATCATGACTGGGGAGGAAAAAATAGCTTTTCTTTACTTTTGTGTGTGTGCCTCTGTGTGTGTGTGTGTGTGTGTGAGACGGGGTCTCATTGTGCCATCCAGGCTGGGGTACAGTGGCATAATCATGGCTCACTGCAGCCTCGACTTTCCAGGCTTCAGCCATCCTCCTACCTTAGCCTCCCAAATAGCTCCCAAATAGCAGGTGCCCACCACACCCAGCTAATTTTCATATTTCTGGTAGTGATGGGGTTTCACCATGTTGCTCAGGCTGGTCTTGAACTACTGAACTCAAGAAATCCACCCACTGCAGCCTCCCAAAATGTTGGGATTACAGGTGTGAGCCACTGCACTTGGCCCAAAATTGCATTTATGAAGTCACTTATCACAAACATTATTCTGAAATCTGGGTAATATGTTAATTTCATGGTCATACAAGGAACCATTGTTGTGGTGGACACTATTACTAAATTTAATTTGCAATGAACCACTTCAATGCCCTATCCTGCTATCTTACATTAAAAAATAAGATTTTAAAGAGAAATTAGAATTTACCAAATCCTGGCAGGGTGCAATGGCTCATGCTTGTACCCCAGCACTTTGGGAGGCTGAGGCAGGTGGATCACCTGAGATCAGGAGTTCTAGACCAGCCTGGCCAACATGGCAAAACCCCGTTTCTACTACAAATACAAAAAAGTAGCCAAGCATGGTGGTGGGCACCTGTAATCCCAGCTACTGGGGAGGCTGAGGCAGGAGAATTGCTTGAAGCCAGGAGGCAGAGGTTGCAGTGAGCTGAGATTATGCCATTGCACTCCATCCCGGGTGACAGTGAGACTCTGTCTCCAAAAAAAAAAAAAAAAAAAGAATTTACCAAATTCCTTCTCTTTCATTACATTGGTGAGGGCTATGATTTCTTCCATGCTACTGGTATAAAATATTGATGTAGTTTGATGTCCAAGAATAATGGAGGCAAATCTGGCACTTATTGGGACGCAGCTACCAACATGAGGTAGGTCTGTGTACTTATGTTGTTAACTGGCACTGTTCTTTAATTTCCTAGATGTAACTGCCCATAATATATTATGGCTGGGCTACTACTAATATTGATAACTAGCCCTGCCTTATACCTTGATTTCCATGTGAACGCAACATAATGTACAGTCTAAAACTAGCCTTTTATGTAAGAAAACTAATTTGAGAGAGATCAGAGTCAACAACTAGAATGAAAATTACCTTACTTCCCTTCCCCTCAAATGCCATGGAACCTCTCTTCTAAACCTGACCCATATTTGTAATATGGCTTGCTATCCCCCAATAGCACCGGGACACTGTTACAGTCTTAGTGGTATTCATTTCAGCTATTCCATACATTTCCCCTTTAATTTTTGTGCTTAGCTAGGGCATTATAAGTTGGTTTCTGTATACAATTGTGGCTTTCTTTCTGTTCTCTCTCTCTTTTTAAATTCCTTCAGTATCTTTCCACTCTCTCTCATTAGATTATAAGTGCTTTTGTAATCCTCCACAGTTCTATGTGTAGTCAACTCTTGATTATCTGAGCTAATGGAGAGGAGCATTAGCATGGATGATATCAGAGGACAAATAAATTTCCCAGGGGTTTGCATCAATTCTGTGAAAGCATCTGAGTCCCGGAGGCAGGCAAACTAAAATCTATGAGAAACAGAGAGCAGAGAAGCATTGTGAATGAAAGAGTGAGATGTCACTTTCTTACAGGGCCGTGAACTACTGCTGCAGCTGCTAGTGAAATTTTGTTCTACTGTGTCTAGGCTGTTGGGAGATCCTCAAGAGAGGGGCTCCAGGGATCTTTGGGCATGAATCCTTCTCCACTGGCCCTCTCCTTTTTGGCATCAGTGCTTGGCTTAGCACAATATCAGGCCAGGACAATGGAAATGCAATAAATGGATGAGAGAGGAGTAACAGGGAATTCTTGGCAGAGAAGTCAACAAAACAGAGGCTTTACGAAGCAGGAGAAGGGAAACACTGTTAGTGAGGGCATTGCCTTAAGGGGAGAGCATGTTAACTGGATAAAGGTTTTCTCTTTTCTTCAACTCCAGCTTCTAGCTCATGACTTAAACATAGCAGATGCTTTATTAATATTGGAGGAAGGTAAACAAACAGGCAGAAAGAGGAAAGAATGATTCACAAGTGATAGAAACTTCCTGAGTAGTCCAGAAGCTACTATTCACAAAATCTACTCGCTGGAGTGAACATTCTGATTGCATTCTATGGATATTTTAGCAATAATCATAGGAAGATCCTCTGGGTATTTGGTTATAAATGCTTTTCGTTATTTATTGTTGAATAACAAACCTATGTAAAAGTAGATCTGTTTGGTTGCATGGCAGGGAGACCATGGGAATTCACATATTTTGAGCATCCATTATATTCCAGGTAAGCACTTTACTTACTTTGACATGTTTATTACTTACAACAACCCTATGAAATAATTATTATTATGCCCGTTGAACATGTGAGGCAACGGAGAGTCACAGCTGTTAACTATCTTTCCCAAAGTTAAACAGCTGGTAAATATCAAACTGGACTTATCAGTTTCTTTCTCTTGAAATCCCCTACTCTTTATTCTATCTGCAATGTGCTGCTTCCCATTAGTGATAGTAGCTACAATTTATTGAATGCTTGCTGTGTGAAGGCACTATATTTACATAATTTCTAATCTTCCCACTAACCTAGACAGGTGGGTATTGCTATCTCCAATTCATAGATGAAGATAGATATAGGAAAGCTAACAATAACAGTCAAGGTTATAGGTAAAGATTTGAACTAGGTCTGTTTTGGACCTATTCCCCATGTCTTTCCACTATCATCTGCTGTCTTCTTCCAAATGTCATATTCTTTTACTTAGGCCACATTTTTTTTTTACTGTAATTAACTTAAAATTTTGTTGGAGATGGTTCACTACAATATTATAATTTTATTATTTTTAATGAGGTATTTCAATTGCAGAATGACAGCCTGTGTATCTGTACACACACAAACACACACACACACACGGTGGGGGGAGAGAGAGAGACACTTCTTTTATCACAAGGTACCACATTCCTATTAGAGAAAAAAAATCCTGTTTCAGATAATGCTTATAGAAAACATTTCTAAGGAAAGTGTAGGCTATCGTTAATATTAACAGATCATTACTTTGTGCTAGATAGTGCTAAATAGAAACCTGCTGTAGAAATTTGCTTGTAGTTCTTTCCACAATGTGAAAATCAGGCCCAACCTTAAAGTAAAACAGCATAAGTCTTACTATTAATGTCTGCAATGAAGTGAAGCCCTTTTGACCCATTGATCTTTTAATCTGCAGAAGAGTAGGAGAAGGTGATGTTCTGAGGTACTGAAAGTCTATTTTGCTTGACTTCTTGTCACTACTGCATTTCCTTCTCACTGGTATCTACACCAGCAAAGAAGACATAAAGCATACCTTGTGGAAAAGTAGAAGAGACTTTGCTATTCCACTTTGTAAAAAGGCCTGTCCAGTGTCTCCTTGAGCACAGAAAGGAAGGTGGCTTCCTCTTCCATTAAAAGGAAGCTGAGACCTTGGGTCACATGGAACTTCTGGGGATGGAATGACTCACCTTGCCCAGGGTGTGCAGCTACTTCTAACATCTCACCTTCCTCCTCTAATTTCTCTTCTCCTCCAACTGTCCTGGGGAAAGTAATGCCCCGAGCACAAACCTACCAGTGTTTCCAGTGGTTGGGGAAAGCTTTGGATGGACATTTTCTTTCTTCCTTTTTTTCTTTTTCTTTTCCTTTCTTTTTTCTCTTCTTTTCTTTCTTTTTCTTTCTTTTTTTTTTTTTTTGTGACAGAGTCCCACTGGAATGCAGTGGTATGATCACAGTTCGCTGCAACCTCTGCTTTCCGGGTTCGCTATTTTTGTGTCTCAGCCTCCTGAGTAGCTGGGACTACAGGTGCGCCCCACCCCTGGCTATTGTGTGTGTGTGTGTGTGTGTGTGTGTGTGTGTGTGTGTGTGTACTTTTAGTAGAGACGGGGTTTTGTCATGTTGTCCAGGCTGGTCTCGAACTCCTGGCCTCAAGTAATCCGCCTGTATCAGCCTGCCAAAGTGCTGGGATTACAAGCATGAACCACCACACCCAGCATGGAGGGACGTTTTCTTTTTTTTTCTTTTTTTTTTTAAACTAGTTTAATTTTATTTTAAGTTCTGGGATACATATGCAGTACAGTGCAGGCTTGTTAACATAGGTAAACATAAGCCAGGGTGGTTTGCTGCACCTATCAACCCATCACCTAGGTATTAAGCCCAGCATGCATTAGCTATTTATGCTGATGGACATTTTCTAACTGCAGGGAGAGAGAGGGAGCCTTCAGGGAACTCCTCCCTTTCTAAGTTCTCTTGGAATAGCCAATCAAGACACTTGAGAAAGGACCTGGGAAATCTTCCTTCTTTCAGGGTCTAGGTTGTGACCAATAGCACTGGCTAAGGTGGCATCTCTCCATTACTCCTTAGGGACTGGGATGTAGCCAGGTGAGGAATATCCGTGGGGCCCATGTTATCCATGAGAGATACCCAGGAAAAACTTGAGCAGAAGCCTGTATTTTGCGTGATTGGGACACTCTGTAGCAATCCTTCCACAGACCTATCCTTCCATAAAATAAATAAATAAATAAAAATAGGGAAGAATAAAAAGCAGCAGCAGCCTAGATTTCAGAGTAACTGTTGCTTAAATCAACTTACTGATTCCATGATTTGATAACTGCTTAACACTGCCAACTGTGCAGTGTTGCTACTAAGCTGTTTTGGAAATGTGTGGGTCTCCTATTTTGGTACTGATCATACCTGCCAGGAGCCCACTAGATTTTCAGGTTTGAATCTTCTCGACTGTCTGAATATAGAGGCTGGTTCTCTGACCTTCTTTCAAGGTCATCAGGTTTTCTTTGTACTTTTATATCCTTTCAAAATTTTCTGCTTTCTTTTTGATTTTACTCCTTTTCAATTTATTTATGTGTGATAGCCTCAATCATCCAGTTATCAATTCAGTAAAATCTGTGTTGCAGAATGTCCATTTTATCATTCAAGCCTGAAATCTGTTCTGCAATCCTTTTATTTCCCTCCTGAATTGCTTTCAAAGCCCTCTAGGGAGCTGGCCTGCAAAAATAGAGAATTCTCACATTGTTTTGATGAAAGGTGCTATATAACCACACAGCAGGATTATTGTTCCTTTTTCTCTTTCATTTTGGTCGCCCTGACTGATCTGCTCTGCATTGCAAGCGCAATGGCCTTTTTTCATCTTAATTTTATTCACAGCTGTGGTTACTTTCTTTCAGGGACATCAGATAGGTGTTAAGTAAAAGACAGGCATGGGTGTCAGAAGGAAAGTCTAGGCACCTCCCTTCCCTTGTTACTGATTTCTAACACTTTGTCTGACCATTCAGCTGAGCCCAGCTGCTACTGCCCTGATCCCTTCCCTCACTAGGTTCAATTTCCCTTGGAGTTTCTGCTTTGTGTATAGAACTAGCCTAACCCAATCAAAGCAAACTGCAAAATTAAATTAATTTAACTCGTTCATCTAGGTGTTGAATGTAATATTTTGACACATCTGCATAAACTGAACTTCCTAAATTTGGCATAAGGGAATAAAATTGATGGATTCAAATTCATTTTTGTTGGTGAAATGCAGAGATTTGTAATCCATCAACTATTCTCCCTAATGCACCATCTAGACAGCTCACGCTGCCTTCAGTTGGCGTTAAATGCAAACACCTCTACTTAAATAATAGAAGCTGCATAGCAAAAATTAGCAAAAGCCAGTTTTAAGTGAAGATTTGACATTAAGTCAATATGTTTAAAAACAAACTGAAGCAAGGAATAAAGAGAGAGATTTAAAAATATGCCGTTTTTAACCCCAAGGGGAAGTGATATAGTTTATAGAAAACATTAAGTATTCAAGACAAAACGATACAAAACTCATTGAAGAAAATCTTTGTGGTTGTGAGGGGTGGCATATATAAATGTGTCCAGATGTTGGCTCTGTGTATACAATTCTGTGTTTGGGTGAATGTGTGCATACAGTGCTTTTCATTTTCTAGAGAGATTCCTGGTATAATTAACTGAAATTGACTGTGTGCAGAATGTTGAAACACAAAATAATTAATAAGAAACGATAGAACAGTGGAAGGTCTCTAAAATGCTTCTGAGGTGTGTGTCTGTGTGGGTGGCATCCCAGTAAGTGTAGTGTTTATATATCAAAATATATCATAATTGTTTGAATAAATACATGATGCCTGATTCATAAAAAATAAAAATCTACCATGGTGAAAGGACATGAAAAGTGGCAAAAGCATTCGTTTTTAGGCTTTTACAACGTAGATTCTGTTCATGCTGAGTAGGGAAATGAAGCTTTTTATTTGGAGAATTCTGGGTTGAGGACTATTTTCTCAACCAAAAAAGAATGTCTTTAGGTAAATATGTATGTGTGATGGTATTTGAGTTAGCCATGGATGAAAACATACTGTAAATATTTCTATGTCAGTTATGAGTCTAAACACCCTGGCCATTTTGACCTACAGCATGATTAACAGGAATCAGGTCAGTGAGTCACACAAAGACACACTATTTTATAAATGTTTATCTTTTAATTTTAAATGATTTAAAATGTTAGGAAATGGGTGGTAAAGGAAATAACTTAGTATCACAGAATTTTATGGCTCAAAGTCCCTGTATTTCACTGAATCTAACGTGCTTTAGTATTAATGTTTTCTTGATCTTTCCAGAAGGTATCAAGGGAAGACTTTTTCTTTTGTTTATGTCACTCACAACCACACTTGACAGGGATGTAGAAAGCATTGATTGTAAGATGCATCTCAATTTTAGAGAGATTAAAATTAGAAAAAAAAATTGCATGTTAGAATTGAGAAATAGGGTCTCATAGAGATCAAATCTAGCTAAGTTATTTTACAAAGAAGAAATTTAAGGTCCAGAGTGCCTGAAGGTCACACAAGTGCTTAATAATGAAGCATGGCACATCCCCTGGCCATCTGCTCAGCTTTTCTCATAATGCCCTGCACCCTGCCCTGTGACATCTTTTTCCCTTTATACTATACTTACTCATAAAAGTTTTCAGATACAAATAAACAGCCCAGTGAGTTTAAGTTAAATGTTCGTATGTGTGTGTGTGTGTGTTAGTTGATTAAGAGTTTTCCAATATCATCATTTGGACTGCTATCCTAAATGTAGGCACTGGGCATTAGTTGGCATTAATAATCTTTTTTAGTTCTAAATTTACTCATCCCATGTACTCAACAACCACATATTTTCATATATAATATTCATTACTTAGTATTTTTGAGCAAGTGGTTTGTGTCAGTAACTCTATATTGAGGATGCAGCATGACCTGTGCTTCAAGAATAATTATTCAAATGATTACCATTTACAATCATGATAAGTGGTATGAAGGAAGGTGAGTGCTATGAAAATGTCTAACAGGGAGTATGGTCTAATTCAGAATCCCCTTTCTTCCAGTGCTATTTAATCTGATACCTGAATAATGAAGCTGGGTGGAGAGAAGACAGTGAGCTTTTTAGGCAAAATGAACTGTAAGTGTAATTACCTAGAGATGGAGAAAACTTGGGTTTTTTAGCCGCTGGTGTGAACATAGAAAGCCATGATGGGGTTTTTGACCACAAGAATCTTACAATGAGAGGAAAAACGTTGTAGAAGACTCGTTATTGATTTTTTCCACAACTAGCCAAAACAACTAACTGTAATTCTGAGTAAATATATTACTTTTGGGAACAGAGAAGAAAGAAAGAGAATTGACTTGAGGTATTTTGTGTTATGTTTTGTTCCCGTTTATCTACAGCCTTTATCTCTGTGGTCTTGAATGTTTTACTCTTTACTTGAAAGTGTTAAGAGCAATGAGATCAAGAAAACTAGAGAAATAGTAAAGCACTCAAGAACATGGAGATAAAGTTGGAGAAACACGTACTAAAACCTTCAGAGACAATGTGATAAAATGAGGAAAGTAGTAAGATCTGCCTTCAACTGATAAAGCTGTGGAACTAGGAGTTTCACTTTTGCCACAGGACTTCCCTGCAATGTCATCTAGTCCACTTGTGTGTGGACAGTTCAGGTTAAAATAAGAATTACTAAAACTTATGTAGCACTAACAATGAGTTAGATTTGTGCTGTCCAAATTGTAGTCACTAACCACATGTGGCTGTTGAGCACGTATCTGATTGGAGATGTGTGTAAAGGTAAAATACATACTGAATTTTGAAGACTTAGCATTTAAAAATGTGAAATAAGATGTCTTAGTACTTGCTAAAATTGGTGGCATGGTTAAAATGATAATGTATTATATATTTGGGTTAAATTTTTAAAAAATTAAAATCAATTCCACCTACCTCTTTTTACTTTTTACAGTGTGGCTATTAAAAAATTTAAAATTACACATCTTACATTATATTTTTATTGAACAGTGCTGGTTTCGTTACTGGGGATGAGGCAGTGAACCAAACACAAATTCTCTGATCTCATGATGTTGACATTCCTCTACTGAAGACAGGCCATACGCCAGAACTAAATAATAGGTCTTATCAAGAATGATAAAACACATTTAGAGTGCAGAGGAAATGTGGTGACTTTGTTTTGTTTTTTTTTGTTTTTGTTTTTGTTTCGAGATGGAGTCTCGCTCTGTCGCCCAGGCTGGAGTGCAGTGGCGCCATCTCAGCTCACTGCAAGCTCCGCCTCCCGGGTTAACGCCATTCTTCTGCCTCAGCCTCCTGAGTAGCTGGGATTGCAGGTGCCCGCCACCACGCCCAGCTAATTTTTGCAGTTTTAGTAGAGACAGGGTTTCATCATGTTGGTCAGGCTGGTCTTGAACCCCTTATCTCGTGATCCTCCCTCCTTGGCCTCCCATAGTGCTGAGATTACAAGCGTGAACCACTGCGCCTGGCCTGTGGTGACATTTTGAATAGTGATTCAGGATACATCTCTCTGATTGGAGCAGAAAGATAGAATGGGAGAGAACCAAGGAGGTTTGGGGAAAGAGAATTCCAGGCTGAACCACAAACACAGAGGGTGTGCAATGGGGGTATGTTCAGTGTAGTTGGAGTGCAATGAGGAAACAGGAGAAAGATAAGAAGTGAGGTTGGAAAAGGGGGAGTTGCCAGATTATAAAGGGCCTTTGTTGGCCAGAGTTAGGGTTTTGGATCTTATTCTGAATGAAATGGTATAGTAGATTGAATGCAAAAATGTAGTAGTTATTTCTGTGTACCCATACGCTTTTGTAGTGTGACCTTGCAGCTCTTCCTCACAATGAATCTAGGTGGGCTTCATACTTGTTTTGACTGATAGAATGCAGTGAAGTGGCATCATATGGTTTCTGATTTCCTTGCCTAGGCCTCAGTAGGCCTTGCACTGTTCTGCATTCTTAGAGCCTTGGCAGCTGTCATCAGAACAGGCCCACATTAGCTTACAACAAGATGAGAAATCATGTAGGCCAGAGTTAAAACCCCTCAGTTGTCCCAGCTGACACTTCAGTGATATTAAAGCGCTAGGCTGAGATCCACTGAACCTTGCTCAGATAAGCAGAACATCTCCCTAAGTTGGCCTAAAGATTTTAAAGTAATAATAAATGGCTATTTTAATCCACTAAATTTTACAGTGTTTGCTTATGCAGAATTTTTGAGTTTTGTCAAATGAATCATCAGTTTAGAGGAGTAGTGATCGAGGTAAAAAGTTATTTTATTTGAATATATATTTGAGATTAGGTCCAAAAGCATTTTCTAATGGACTGAAAGTGAGGTATACAAGAAGTAGAGAAGACAAGAATGACTCTGACATCTTGGCTGTCACAACTGAAAGAATAGTGTTGTCATTGCTAAGACAGAAAAAACTGGGGAAGTAGCTATTTGTGTAGAGAAAAATCAAGTGTTCACTTTTTTTACATGTTAATTTAAAGACTTTTTTTAGGCATCCAAATTGAGATGTCAAATAGACAATTGGAGAAGGAGTTCAGGAATAAAATCTGGGCAGGATTCTTAAATGTAAAAATAAGTAACATCATAAATGGCATCGAAAGCCATGGGAGTGGATGATATTGCTTAGGAAGTGATGGGGAAAGGGCCAAAGATTGAGCCTGAGTGTTCAATGTTTGAAAGTTGGGAGGGTGAGGAACATCTTGTACAGCAAGCTGAGAATGAGGGATCAGTTAGTGATGCAGATAACCTGGAGAGAAGCAAAGTGAAAGTAGAGAGTTTCAAGCCAGACTAATCAGCAACATCAGTAGCTTCCTGTAAGTTAAGTAAGCTGAGAAATGAAAAGTGATCAATGAATCTGGCAATACAGAAATTTTTGTTGTGTTTTCTAGGAGCAGCTTTTGTGGTAAGTTGACGAAAGCGGAAGTGGTGTTAAGAGAAAAAAAAGAGTAAGACAGAAATTGTAAAATATCTTGAAAATTTGCTGTTAATTGAAAACAGGACTGGGACTCAAATTGGAGGGAAAGTAGGGTTAAGAGAGTTTTTGTTTTTTAAAAAAAGATATGAATTATGATTGTTCATTAGAATGCAGATAAAGATAATACTATCTTGATGTAAAAATTGATGACAAACGGAAGATAGGGACAATATAGGAAACAACATTCTTGACTAGTAAGATTGGATGAAGCCCAGGGCACTGAAGGTTCTCAGGAATGGCAGGAGGGAAGGCAGAGAGGGCACACATAAAAGAAGGCAAGAAGATTCATTCACTCCTGAAGGCATGTGGAATTTTCTCTTCCAACGGATTCTGTTGTCTTAGGGAAACCAGAAGCAAATCAATCTGGCAAGTGTGAGGATGGGGGTGCAGGATTGGATGTTGGAATAAAAGAAGATAAATAACAGTCTAGAAAAATAAGAGTGGATAGATTTAATTTGCTAGAGCTACCAGATAACCTGAGAGTCTTTTCTGAGATTCATGAGCAATCATTTATGCTGATTTATTGATCCAATGTGTGCTGTTTGGACGGAAGATGCAGAGTAGGTGGGGAGCTGGCTTTAACCAGGTTGTGGCTTAACCAAGGAGTGTCACAACAGAACTGATGGACTTTGGTGGGTCTTAGAACGTTAATTAACTGGACAAAGAAGGGGAACCATACTGTATAATGGATAATGGAAAGAAGTAAAGACAATTGGATCAGGACATTTGAGATCTTAATTTTCTTTCAAATGTAGAATACCAGAGAAGTAACCTGGACATACAGGAGGTAGTATTTAGAAAGTGGTGTGCCTGAAAACAAGATGCCTATAGACAGTGTCATCTTTGGTAAATGAGGTCTAGGGAATTAATTTTCAAGAGAAATAATACCACACCCTAAGGGTTTGTTTTTGTTTTGAAATTTGTGGGCAGTTTTTATTGTTACAGTGACTGGGAGTGATGCAAGATTTAGTGGTAGGGCCAAGGAGCTAGATGCTCTTTGATGTTCAGAACAATACGTTACACCTAAATCTATTAGCTTGTAACTGCTGTATTCACAGTGATTCTACATATAAATATATTTATTTAGCTCATTTAAAAATCTTGAATATCAGGTTATTGTTTGAAATTGGGTTTTGTAGATAGGACTACAAATAAACACTTGCTAATATGAATATTCCTCCCACGTTATTTTCTAATAAAGAAATCAACTTGTTAAAACTAAGCAAAGATTTACAAAGAAGGATGCTGACAAGGTTAGAAGGCATATGTCGTATTTCCAAGCTTTAAAGAAAACATTTGAAAAATCTAATATTGTGTCTGGAATGCATACAAATATCCAAATAAAAACAAATATCTGCTTGCTTTTTATGTGTGCACACATCATCACAAAATAGTAACCTTCATATTATTAGGCAAAATTAATTTTACCAACTATATAAGATGTTTTCGGTATGCTGACCAAAGACATCCAAGTGAAATAATTTCTGTCTTTCATTGAGCAAAGATACTGTGTAAGGAATAATCGATGAGATCGCAAAACATGTCAAAAATTAGCCATGAAATGAACTATAGTCAAAATGAATTTTCATTGCAAGTGGATAAAACTTCCTTTGGATAACGAGGCTTTACTGTCTGCATTTGAAAGGATCGTATGGAATGAAAGCTCATAGAGAAAAATGTTATTTTAAAAATTACTGACAATAAATTTTAAGCAGTTGTCTATACTTTAAACACCTAAAAAATATTTTATAAAAAATTATTTCTTTCTTTTGTTCAAGTCATTGCTTCTGTTACAGCTGGGAATGCTAGCTATGGGTTGTTGGCGTACCAGTTTGTAGCTAATTTTTAAAATTATACCAGGTATTTTAGCAATTAATTGCACTATTTATGAATCTCACTTAGTCCTCGATAATTTTTGTCGAAGTCTCCACAAATTGATGAAGAGTGTTAATAATAAAATTAAGAATAACTCTGTGAGTGATTTATTATTTCATATAGAATATTTAATAGGAGTTTGAACATCTTATCCTAGACACATAAGTAGGATGATTCTCAAAGAATATGGTTCAAAACAAATTCTGTTCATTACTTATCATTTACAAATTATATTAGTGGGAAAATAATATTAAGAGTGAAATATTATGAATGGATGTGACATATAATTCAGAGATACTTGAAAAGTTAACTGAAGTCACCTTTAGCTGCAATGAAACCAGATCTAATTTATTAAAATGAAGTAAATAATTATGAGATTTATTAAACTTACACTATTTAAAATGACCTTGGTACTTAGAATTTTCAATGTTTCTGTCTTTGCAACACTTTGGATTTTAAAGATACTTATTTAGAAATAGATAACTCTTACTTTTATTGAATAAAGATATAATGGTTGGATGTAAAGTTCTGAATGAACAGCAATTTCAGACTGGTTGATTAATCTATTTGAAATTACTGTGGAATATGTTAGGCAAGACATGCAAAAGAGTTAATTGAGCTAAAACAAAACTTTCAGACCAAACTACAAATTAATTAGTCTAATTATGAAAATATTTGAACAAATTAAAGGCTTTTATATTAATGTCTGAAAATAAATTAAATTACCTGTAACTTTTCTTCTTTTTAACAACATGTGAATTTGAAGAGATTCTAAATTATTAGTGTAGTTTCAGAAAAACATAATATCTGTTTGCTAAAATATAACAGATTGAAAATAAGAGACTTTTTTTTTTTTTTTTTTTTGAGGGACTAGGTCTTGCTTTGTTGCCCAGGTTGGAACACAGGCTAGATCACGGTGCGGTGCAGCCTGGGCTCAAGCAATCCTCTTGCCTCAGCCTTCCGAGGAGCTAGGACTACAGACATGAGGCACTGTGCCCACAAGACTTTTTAAATACTTAGAACCAAATATTATGAAATTAATGGAACTATAATACTGAAAGTTAAAACTATTTAGTATTGTGATCATCCTTGTATTTAATTTTTTTTTGGTACACAGGTTAAGAAATCTGTCATAGAAAGTGTGAATTGAATTTATTTAGATTATTCGTAAGAGTGTTTTCTATCTTACTATGAAATTGTCCTCAGGGATTTACCTCATGATTTATTTACAGCCTCTTTTATTACTGTTTATTTTTCCAGTCTATCTTCTATTATCCTTTGCCTAAAGAAAGATACTATCTCCAAGGATTTTTAAGTAGCAGAGACTGAATTCATCCTTGGACATTTTGACTGACTCCACGATAGAAAGTGTTTCCACTGGCACTTCACTGGTACTCTATCCCATGCCATAACAAACTGAATTGCTTGGAAAGTACACTTCTAAATAAGGACCAGCTCATTTATAAGAATATCATATATACTCATTTTTCTCACCATTGATAAACTGTAATTTACTTTGCCTTGTTACCTATAATGCAATTATTTTTTTATTTTTCTATCCGTTTATACAGATAAGACTGAGCTGTTATTAGTGTAGAGTCCATGGCTGCCTTTGCTCTTTACTTTTCCTGGCCTTCTTGTATGGAATGAGTTTTCATCTTACTCTCCTGTGATCCCTACCAGCTCATAATTAGAGTATATAAGTAGGAAGATGCTATAATTATGAATGTACATTAACATATCTATTCTGTCATTATATATTTATTTTATTGCATATTTAAAAATTTTAGTTGAAGATAGATTGTGTTACTTGGAAGGTAAGGGGATCTACAGAATATTTGTTTTT
The DNA here is from genome assembly GCF_000001405.40 of Homo sapiens. NCBI lineage: Eukaryota > Metazoa > Chordata > Mammalia > Primates > Hominidae > Homo > Homo sapiens. Next base: position 91,446,403 of record NC_000006.12, read on the forward strand.
AAAAAGGGGGTGCTGGATCTGAAACAGTGGGTATGGCCATAACTTAGCAATCAGTTGCTAGAAATTGGATTAATATGAACTTTGTTCTATTAGGTTGATGCAAAAGTAATTGCAATTTTTGCCATTATTTTTAATGTACTTTTAGGCTTTGTGTGTAAGGTGCAGTATTGACTACATTTCATGTACCATATTTTATATATGAAATTCAACAGCCTATCTTCTAAGTGAAAGGACAAAAAAACTTCTAGATGAAATAACTCCTAGTAGGTTGCTACCTACCCTCTCCCACTTTCAATAATTTGGATAGAGATAACCTATTCGATACATTCCTTAAACATGTGTTTGAGGATTGAAACTCAATTCTTAATGATTAAACATTTTCAGGGCTCAGTTTAAATTAAATTTTAGGCTGTCATTAGCAAAGTATAGTTATTCTCAGATTTCTTTTAGTCTCTTGTTTTGATGGCCTTTTTGTACTCTAGTCCTTTGCCTAATTTTGTTGAGTTAGAAAATATGGTAATTTAAACAAGTTCTTGGTAATTCTGCAAATGGAAAAGAAGTTTAAAAAAGGCAGATTTAAATAAATGAGTCAATTTGATTCCAAAGCTGGTATTAACATATTTTAATGCAGTGGAAAAAGCAAGATGCATCTTAAGGTTATATGAGGTCTATCAAATTGACCTACATGAGCCCACAGAAGTTACATGTTTCCTAAGGCCAAAGAACTGTTTCATGACCTTGAAGGGTATATTAGTATTTCTATTTAAGTCATTACATTTTCAAACATTGGAACTGCTCAGATTTGGTTCACTGCACAAACCAATCACTTAGAATGTTAAAGAGCATGACTCTAGTCTCCTGGAGACAGCTCTTCTGTAATTGAGCTCTCGTTTGCATGGCCTGTCTACCTTCTCTGTTAATTTTTTTTTCTTGGTGTTTCTTTTTTTTTTCCTTGTCAGCCTACATTATGAATGCAACTGATAGAACAAATACCAACACCTTACGTTGAAAATTCTCTTCCTAGAACTTATTTAAAACACATGCTGAAATTCTCAAATAGCAAGTTGTTTTAAAAAAAGTCAGAGCATTTTAGAGTTGGAAGTGATTGTTGGATGCATATTACAATCTCATGAGGAGCTTAAGAAAATACCAATGCCTCCGTCCCACCTTTGGAAATTCTAATTTAACTTGTCTGGGGAAAGACAGGGAACACCTATATATTTTTAAACTTTCTACTGGGCTAGTCCCATTCAGTCAAATGTAAAAAGAAATTCAGAAGGGATTTGGCATATCAAAAGTCCCACAGCTAGATAGTAGTAAGGCTGAAAGTAAAAGTAAAATTTCCTGTCACTTAGTACAGATCCTTTAAGCTATTTGGAAATGACTCTTTAAGAGACATTGTCCCACAAAAACTTCAGATATAAATCTGATGTGTACTTCAGTTGGGGAGCTAAATATAGCTAGATGCCCCTTATATTTATCTGATATGATGCATTGAACGGCAGTCTCATTTAGAAAATGCTAATGCTATGTTTCCCATAAAAAGAGAGGGGTCGTGTTTTGCACTGATTTATAATGCATAAGTGTGATGATGCTTAAATAGTCTCTTCCCCTGAAGAGAGTTTGCAAAAAAGCAGTATAATCTCTGCATTACAGTTCTGTCCCTTTGCAGCATGGGACATGGCAAAAATATCTTGCCAAGAATTTACACCAAATCAATTTTCCACTGTATTATCTACAATACATCATTACTGTTGATTGTTTAGATGAAAATGGCCTCACAATTGCAATGAATCATCTACTTTTATAGTAACAGAATTTACAACTGCAGAAGAAAGGCATAAAAAAAGAAATGGCATAATGGTTGACACTTTGCCTTTGTTTACAGTATTCTTTTAATATTGATGTTGATCTTTCGGCATTCAGAGCTCAGATGGACAATCTCAACAATGGCAGTTGAAAATTATGCTTGTCTTTAAATTTTGTTTTCTTGTTTTGTGTTCATATTATTGCAAGTACTAGGGTTGATCAGTACTTTGTATGTTTATTACTTGCTTTAATGATGTTTTAGCAAAAGAAAGGGCACATTTACACTGTGAATGCATGTGTCTAATGTAGAATTATACACGGAATTATTGTACCTCTATGGGTCCTTCCATTTTATTTCAAATAAAATATTTTACTTGAGCCTGCTCTTCCCTGATATACGGAAAACAATGGGTCAGTTCAATTATCTTGAAATTGGCAAACGTTTAGTTTTGCTCATCCACAAAAGTTAAGTTCAGCATGAATGCTGGGTGTATTATAGGGATTTCTAGAATCTGGCAAATTTATGAATATAGAAAAGAGCAAATCAGAAAAAAAATGCCTTAAATTACTTTATCTCCAGGTGATAAAATTTCATGAATAGTTGAAAAGAGAAGGACATACAGATGAAAAGGGTGGAAAATCCCAGAAAATTGAAAACAACGATTAAATGATATGTAAATTACTATGCAGACATTTCTAAAGCCTGTGATTATTTTTTTAAGTATGACTAGTAAAAAGGATTTATTAAAAGTTCAGTTGAATACTGTGAGTTTGAATATCATACACATAACAAACTCATAGTGAGGAATTGAAAATTAATGAGAAATTAAATATCATGAGACTTTAAACTGACTTCTTTTTAAGAGATGCTAGAGGACAGAAAGGAAAGGGATGCTTTCATTTAAAGGTAGAGTTTGAAACCACTAATCTAGGATGCTAGAAGAAGTATTCATGAATAAAATAATTAAAGCTTGAAATTAAAAATATATATAAATAGGCAATGGTAATTTGTTATGAATTACTTGAATCAAAATTATGGCCCAAGAAAAAATATGCAATTTCCATTTAAAGTGTAGAAAATATTTCAATTTTTGGAAATGGGCTGAATGTCCTTGTCATAGGGGACTTGACTAAGAGTTTATTTAATTGAAACAGAAGTTTGAAGATTACCTCATCCAGTTGACCAACCAATGGTACATATTGCTCAGAAGTTTGAAGGTCACCTCATCCAGTCGAGCAATCAATGGTACACATTGCTGCTAAACAGCAAATTCTTTAAATTTCATGATTAAAATAAATATAGGCAGAATTATTTTAAAGCAGAATTTCCTTTTCTGTTTTGTTGTTGTTACCAAAGTCCGCAGATTCTCTATCATTCAAATTGAAATATTAGAAGAGCAATCTGATATGAATGCCTCTCTTCAAGACTGGAAATTTCTCAAGGATCACGATAAGATCCTACTTCTTTCTGTGCTGAGATTTAGCACAACATAGTTTCTCAATGCATATTTGTTTAGTGAATGTGAGGATGAATGAATAAACGAATGATTCATTAGTATTGCTTTTTCCCAAGATTGTGTGCAGACATCATATTTGTCTTTTCATTTGTGTTTTTCTCCTGTGTTTCTCTACTGCCAAAATAGACTCTAAGGCTGCTTAACACAAAATAATTTGTGTGTGGGGGCACTCAAAACACAGTATCCTGAAGTGTGGTATCTGGGCGTGCTGAATACTTTGCACAGAAGGAACTCGGGAGGGCCTCAGATCCAAGGTCTTTCTGACCTTCTGCCATTCTCCTGTCTTCAACTCCTTATTCTCCCCAAAAGTGAGTCACAGAAACCAGAATTCTTCTTCCACAAGGCTGGTCATAGAAACTAGAACTCCTCTTCCCCAAAGCAAGGCATAAAACCTAGAAAGATAACTCCTTTTCTTTCCCTTGAAGACCCTCATTTCAGAGAGGTTTTGCCCTATCCTCAGGAGGAAGGTATGTTACACAACAAGGCCAAGAAGAATCTGAACTGACAGGCCTTGCTGGCTTCCCCCGTCAGCCTCTAACCATTAGATTATACCCTTTCTCTCAATCACATTTTTATATGACCTATGTGATTGTCCATTCTTCATTCAAGCAAACAGACAATTTTCCCTATGTCTTTGGGTCTTGTTTCTGAAGGTTCCCATGTCATGTTTGATTAAATACATTTGTTACGCTTTTTTGTTTTTGACCTGTCTTTTGTAACAGGAGTGTTGGCTATGACCCTTATGATGGGTGAGAAAAAGTGTCATGCCTTTCTACCCCTTCACATGCATGATTTCAGGTCTGTTTTCTGCAACTTCAGACTGGGGACGAAGGAAAGTAAGCGGGAAGAGGGAAAGGAATGATCACATACACAGTCCAGAAGGGAGTCCAACCTCTCCTCGCTATCGCCCTCATTATCCCTATTTTAGATCTCATAAACCCCCTCTCTTCTCCAAAGCAGAGAGAATTGCACAGAGTGGGGAGGAAGGTGACAGTTTAAAAGGGAAGCTTAGCCTCCTGAGAAAGGAGAGACTAAACTAAACTAATACATGATAGTTCAAATCACACCTGTCACACATTTCATCTTTGAAAATTCTGCTAAAGTCTCCATGCTAACACCAGACAATCCTCACTCACTCATGAGGTTTCAGTTAGTATCTTATTGCTGGTAGCACCCACTTCTCTATCTTCATTTCTAATTTCTCTGCTGAGTCTTGGTCTCAGATATTCAGTTATCTGTTGTGTATTTCTTCTCAGGTGTTAGTCTTCTCAGTCTCATACTTTTCCAAACTAAATTCAATAAATTCATAATGAAAAATTTAGTCTGCTCATAATTTTGGGACGTTGAGAGTGCTTCACTTTAACTATCCAAACAAACCAGAAATTTGATTCTAAACTTAGAATCCTCCCATATCCTCCCCAATCATGTCACCAAACCCTAATTATTTTACTTTCTAAACACATTTCTAAACTTCACCCTTCTCTATACACTCAATTCCACAGTTCAGATTTTCTGTGCTTTACCCTTCTATCCCAATGACCTCTAAGCTGTGTTCTCTAATTCTTGTTTCATCTGCCTCAATATTATCTTCTTTCCTACCACTGTGATTTGCCTGAAATGTAAAAATAAACCGTGTCACTCTTCTGTTAAAATTTCTCAGTGGCTTCACTTCAAGTACTTCATGAAGCTCATTCTCCTTTATAACAGTGCATGCCCAGGCTTTCTTACAAAGGTCCTGATTTCTTCTTCAAATTACTTTCTCACTATCTCAGATTCCTTGCATTTTATGCCCCAGAGAACAAGAAAACTATTGGTTGTTCTCAGAAAACCCGGTAATGTCACAAGGTCTGTCCTTGGCTCATTCTGTGCTTAAATGCCTTCTTTTCCTTCCTTACCTCCACTCTTGTAACAGAAATCTCCTACTTATCATTCAGAGGTGGCTTTGTATCTAATACTTAGTGATATTAGCAATAATATAATTACCATAATCATAAAAATAACATCCATATGGCGCTTAGTAGTTTACAAAGTATTTTCACACAAACTATCATATCTACATTATCATGACACTTAGAGGTGAACAAGAAAGGTATTATTTCCAATGTATGCTTGAATATAAGACAGATACTTTTTTTTCTTCTTTTTTTAAAATAGAGACAGGGTCTTACTTTGTCAGGCTGGAGTGCAGTGGTGATCTCATGGCTCACTGTCACCTCAAACTCTTGAACTCAAGAGATTCTCTCACCTCAGCCTCCTTAGTATCTGGGACTACAGGTGTGCACCACGACTTCTGGCTAATTTTTAAAGAAAATTTTTGTAGAAACAAGGTCTCACTGTGTTTCCTAGGCTGGGCTCGAACTCCTGGGCTCAAGCCATCCTCCTGCCTCAGCTTCCCGTTGTTGGGATTACGGATGTGAGCCATCGCACCTGGCAAGGACAGAGACTTTTATCCCTCTTGTTTACTCAATCTCCAGTGCCTAGAAATGCCTAGCAAGAAGCAGGTCTCAGTGAATCTTTTTGAATGAATGAATGAAAAAACTGGTAGAGTAAGAAAATTAGTGATTGTCCAGAGATATACAAATAATAAATTTTAAAAATGTAGTGTTGTCCTTTGTGTCTTAATCTAGTCATGGGCTAGGAGGAATAGTTGTGATAAAAACACTCTACATTACTTAATACATACTACTTACTACTTAATACATACTAAAATTTCTTAATATGCTAGCTGAATTAACGTTTTTTTTTCTCCTGATTCAGGACTTGGCATTGTTTTCTTAAGGTGGCACATATATATATAATGTATACATATATACACACACATATATATACATATATGTGTATACATACGCACACACACATATATACATATACACACACACACAGATTTTAATTTGATTTTTTTTTTTTGAGACAGAGTCCCACTCTGTTGCCAAGGCTGGAGTGCAGTGGTACCATCTCAGCTCACTGCAACCTCCGCCTCCCGTGTTCAAGTGATCCTCCTATCTCAACCTCCCGAGTAGCTAGGACTACAGACACGCATGAATGTGCCCGACTAATTTTTGTATTTTTAGTAGAGATGGCGTTTCACCATGTTGGCCAGGCTGGTCTCGAACTTGTGACCTCAGGTGATCCACTGCCCTCATCCTCCCGATGTGCTGGGATTACAGGAGTGAGCCACCGTGCCCAGCCCGGTGGCTTATACTTGTTTGTAAAAAAAAGTATGAAATAGTAAATTAGCAAGTGACTCCAAGACCGAGACCAAAAAGCGGTTTTCCTGTGAAAGGTGACAAGATGAAACCTGTTCTCTAGCTTATTCCTCATCTGAGGAGCAGCAAAGAAGAACCAAAAGGATTGAGATATTTCTTAATGTAGCATGAGTTTTGTTAGGCAACATCTAGTTGTGATTAAATCTTTAAGTAAGATGATAATTTGGGGGAAGTTTCCTTGAAATAATTAATGTTGGTCTTGAGCAAATGAAATTAGAATTTCAAAGGGAAAATGATATGACGAACATACTCAAATAGGGGGAGTAAAAAGAATATGTTAAAAAATCTCTACTTTTGGTTGTTTACCATAAAACAGTTCCATTAGCCAAAAACCACACATACACAAACTCATTTGAAGAGGAACACACCCATGGGACTGTGTAATGTTTTGCCTTCCAGCTTCTGACTTCAGCATGCCTGATTAGACTGTCTTTTTAGAGTAGTATGTGATGACTGGATTACTCTATACATTTGATCACATAGTCTGTGCAGATATCTCCCCCTCAGTCCATAAAATCAATTTGAACAAATACACAAATAAACAAACACTTCATTATCACCAGGAGCTCTGCATCTTTTCCTGTTGGATCTTGCTTCTGCTAGTACTTTGTTTAGCAGAAAAACTAGTTTTATATTAAACGATGGAGCTCTGTAGCTGTTTTACTATCAAGCATTTATGTGGTATTTTATAGCCTGCAAGGTATTTTACAGCCCCTGTACCAGTTTTTTTTCTCCTTGATCTCTTTGAGCTGTAACCAGAGTGTTGTCATTCCCATTTTTACACACTTCAGAAAGAAGGCTATGTGAGGGTAAATGACTAGCAGAAGGTCAGATGATAAGTTAATAGTCAAAAAGGTATGATAGGTCATGATCTTAGAATTGCCAGTTTACTTCTTAGCTCCTATTGTTATACTGATTCTTTTCTGGCCTTTGGCTGAATTGTCTGTGAAAGACTTCTGAAACTCAAAGAAGTATGGTTTTATTAATGATGGAGCATTACATATATAAGAATGCAGTGACAATAGTATAATTTGTTGTGAACAACTGTCATTGAACTTTCAAAATAAATACGTGGTTAGTGTAGAGAAAAAAATCATTATATACAGAAATATTAAAACTGCTATGGATTTGTTTTTAAATTGGGGTGACCAAGATAAGTTTGGAATGGTTTTAATTTGAAAAACCTAAGAGGCTTGTGTTGTCACAGCTGTTAAATTGGCTGCCTGGTCAGATTTATAATATTCATTTTGGGAGAAAAAGATGAAAATTAGAGTAAAATTCCTGATCACAAATTACATATATAGGAAAAACCAAAAAAAATCTTGAAAATAAAGCCTATAAAAGAACTGGTGAACAGTTAAGAAATGTGAATTTAGTATTTGTCAACTAATGCTGTTAAGTTAGAGACCTGTAAAGTTTTCTGGGATTAAGATTATAGGAGGATACTTTAAATCTTACGTTTTACTTGATGTCTTAAAATATAGTCTGGTTAAAATCATAGTCTCTTAAATACTTTCATGGTTCAGATGCTTTTTCAAGGTGTTTGCTCACAAAAGAAGAGTGCTCAGCTTATGATCAGTTTGCTATTAAGTTGGAAGGCTTATATTTGCATAAAGTTCTTTCTCAGGAACATGTTAATAGGAACCTGAATGTAAATAAGAGGAGGAAGCCACTTTAGATATTTTTCTGTGGTTCTCCTTGATAGAAAAATCTTATGTACATATTCAGTGGATGAGCCTCACTTGCTCCTGGGCTCAATATTAAACTAATTAATGTCATTCAAGCATTATATGCCTTTGCATTGGCATTTTATCGAATTTCAAATCCTCTATTTGAATGAATTGCACCTTGAGAAGAATTCATGTTTGTTTTTTATTTAGCTTGGGGTATGCCTATGTTTAAGCCACATCCACTTCAAATACGTTTTTCACTACTCTTGTGGAAAAAGGCCAAACCACTGAGGCTGTGGCAAATCTATTTCTTTTTTGCCTTTTACATACATATGTTTGTGTGTTTGTGTGTATGTTTGCATGTGGGGTTCATATAGAGGGTAGTTAATCAAATACGTATAAAAATTGATTGCAAAAAATTACTATATGAAGAAAACAACTCTAACACCTGTAAATAAAATAAAATATATTAACTTTCTTCACATTTACATTATGCTAATATAGTAATTGTATCACAAGACATTTATCTGGATGGTACTCTTTCTGATTATTTTTATTTTCTTCATTTTTCCATATCTTAAGTTTCCAATAATAAGGGTGAAGGTAATAAGAGCTAAAATTATCGAACAATTTCTATATAATTATATAACTTCACATGAATTGTCACATTTAATACTTTCAAAAACTCTGATTGTTACTATTATTATGACTGCCAATTACAGATAAGAAAACTGAGGTTTGGAGAAAAGAGAATAAATACCCTGTTCAAAGTCAAGTAGACAGAAAGTGGTCCAGGAATTATTTAAACCATTGATGGAATGGATAACCTGAGATCTTAATCTCTATGATGTATTGAATATAAATTATTTTCTAAAGGGAAAAAAGTGAATGTTATATTTTAAAAAATGCACATTCCTGGTATTTTTGGTAGAAGATAAATACCCACCAAAAAAGCTTTTAATAGATTATTTTATTTCTTCTATGACTCTCCCTTATATAATCTTGGGACAAATTTATTTTCCAAAGACAACCACAGCAATAACTCCTATTTTGCAAGTTATTCTTAAAACAAATACTGCTTCTCCTCTATCAAGAAATAGACTCTAATCATCCTGCTCTCAAATCTAGGTGGGCTGGCAATTGCTTCCATAAACAACGTGGCCAAAATGACACTGTATGTCTTCTGAGGCTAGATTTTGTTAACAAAAATTCAGACACTTGTTAAAATGGTAAGGCAGATATTATTTAAAACTATTTCAATAGGGGAGGGAGACTGAATGCATTTCTGAATACTGAAAAGACAGCTGAGGATTTAAAGCCAATGGACAGTGAGGGGGCAGTAGATGGAAAATTACTGAGGGGAGATATAAGGGTTGATGGATTCTTGCTACACAGGCCTAACAGGATTCCTACTAAAAGCAGGCCAAGGACTGGCCAAGGATGGGGAGATTCTTGTGAGACTGACTTGGGATTTTTTCCTGAAACTAGACTCAGTAAGCCAAAGACAGGACAAGACAATGTGGAGGCCTAGTTAAAAAGAGGGCTCACAGGAGCTTGACCCAAGTTTGGTCAGAGGGTGTCTGTTAATTTGAAAAGACCATGCAATTTGATTGAGACACTCAATCTTGTGACCCAATTACCATGCTGGGAAGAAGTCCAAGACACATGAAGAAGAAACATGTAGTCATTTTTAGTGGACAGCCATCATCGCTCACCAGATACCTGAGTAAATAAGCTTCAGATGGTACCAGCCCCCAACTACTGAGTCCCTCAACTTTCATGTCTTCTCACCTGAGGCTCCATAAATCATGAAGTTGAAGCTAGCTCTCCAGTTCTTCTCTGTTCAAATTCCTGATGCACAGAATTCATGAGCATAATTAAATATTTGTCTTATTTCTCTAAATTTGGAGTGGCTTGTTAGATCTGAACAAAACTGTTCTCACTATTCTGATTTAAGCCCACATCTTTTTCCCAGGCTATTGCAGTAACCTCCTAACTGTTCCTCCTGATTTCACTGCTGCTTTCCCATAGTTTTGCCTCTACCTAGCAGCTCAAGTCAGTTGATAACAATCTTCTTTTCAAAACCTTGCAGTGGCCTTGCCCCTTTTAAAGAATGAAAGGCAGAGTCCCAAAGGCCCATATGTCTCCTCTTCATCTGCCACCATTCTTCCCCTGGTCTTCCTTCTTCTGGCCACAATGGGGCCCATCTTTTTCCTTGAACATACAAGCATACTTCCTGCTCTCTGTGCCTGGAATGGACTTTCCCCAGACATCTGTATTTCTTACTCTCTTGCTTCCTTCAGGTCTTGGCTTGAATATTGATATGGTATGTCTGTGTCCTCACCCAAATCTCATCTTGAATTGTAGTTCCCATCATCCCTGCATGTCGAGGGAGGGACCTGGTGGGAGGTAATTGAATCACAGGGGTGGCTACCTCCATGCTGTTCTTGTGATAGTGAGTGAGTTCCCATGAGATCTGATGATTTTATAAGGGGCTTCTCCCCACTTTGCTCTGAACTTCTCCTTGCTGCTGCCATGTGAAGAAGGATGTGTTGCTTCCCCTTCCACCATGATTGCATTAATAAGTTTCCTGAGGCTTCCCCAGCCATGCTGAACTGTGAGTCAATTAAACCTCTTTCTTTTATAGACTGGTATGTCCTTATTCGCAACGTGAGAACAGACTAATACAAAGATAGAAAGGCCTTCACTTACACTGTATATAAAACAAATAGATACTGCTGTCACATCCACCTTATCCTGTTTCACTTTCCACATATCACTTACCGTCATCTGAAGTATTATATAGTTATTTGTTAATGTATTTGTTGTCTGTCTCCCTCCCATGGATTGGAGTCCTTTTGGAGCTTGTATAGGCCTCCTTCCGTGAGAAAATTTGTTGTTTTCAGGGCAGTACTCTCAGTGCCTAAAATGTGCCTGGGACAAAGCAATTTGATAAACATTTGTTGACTGAATGAATTTGGCCTGCAAGAGTAATTTTAAAGAGTTACTTTCTACATGGCCTGGGATGTTTTGTCCTTAGACTTTAATATTGAATGATTTTTTTATTTTTCCATTTTATATCATATAGAACATTATGAAAGAAGGTTCGTAAGACACCAGGAGGAATATTGGTAAGATTCAGTAGGCAAATGTGTTGTGGAAAAGCTGTGGAGTGCAGGCTTCTGAGAAGGGAAGAGGACTAAGAACTCAGCCAAGGTGTCAACATATTAATGAAGGCAAAGGGGGCATCAGATGCAAGTAGAAGTGGGAATTTGACCGGAGCAAGTTATTTAGCATCTTTGAGCCTCAGTTTTCTGGGATGAAAAACATACATATTATAAATGTAATAAAGAACAACTGTTTGTCAGAAATTAATTTTAAAATCATATTTCACTTCAGCTCCTCAACATTATCCATGAGAAACTGGTACCTGAACAAAACAATAGGCTGGACAGACAAATTTTGCAGAGACATAGGATTTGCTCTATTTCTTTAGCAATCCCCTTCCGCTCTTCTCTTAACCCATTAACCATACTGGAAAAGATCTAGCTCAAAGTATTCTACCAAAGTTCAGAAAAGTGGCTTTTCTGCTTTTAATAGCAAAACCATGAGGTTTGCTGTTCTGCGGTGTAAAGAGGTAAAGAGTATACGATGTGGGAAAAGTAGACTAGAAGTTCTCAGTGTTAAGGGGCTATGGAAAAGAGAAAAAGGAAAAAGAATAAGGGACAGAGAATGAATTACACAAACCAACATAGTCTGAATCTCCTTTCTCTGGGCTTGGAGAGAACATGTGTTAGAAAAATTGAGAGGTATATCTAGCATGGAAAGATCTCTCTCTGCACTCTCCGTTTGGAATTGGAGAAGAAACCTGTAACATCACAGGCAACCCAGTCTAGCTAAAAGAGTGGAAAGTTGTGATCATGCTGGGAGAGGATCTGGTGGCCTTCCCCAGCCTCTCGGTTCATGTGTGGGGTGCATTAGTGGAAAGTCAGTGTGCCTGCCAGGTGCCTGCAATTAATCTTGCAGTAGAAGCTGGGTGGACTACAGGACATTGGGGTAGGTAGGAGCAGATGGACCTGCAATCAGCATGGCCAAAGGGAGCTCAAATTACTCCAGGAACATTGCCCAGCCAAAAATAAAGAACCACAAATGCACTAGCCGCAGATTGAAGCCTTAGTAGTCTGTAGGTAGACAGGAAGCATTGTACCAGATTCCAGTAGACAGTAGTTAGTGTAGACCCAATGACCAGCACAAGGTCGGCATATTCTTCTATCCTCTAAAACTTCAGGGTCAAGTCACCCACACAGTCCTCTTGTACCCCACCTTAGGAAAAAGACAAGAAGAGAGGTATGTCATATGGTACGTCTGCGTCCTCACCCAAATCTCATCTTGAATTGTAGTTCCCAGTCTAAGAGACTGGGAGTAGTTCAGTCTAAGAGACTGAAAACCTACCTAAATGAGAGACCAGGCCCTAGCAGCTATGTACATGGTCACACTGGATTAAATTTAAACTAGTTGGGCATTTAGTTAGTTTTTTAATGCTAACCAGATGGTGAGAGTTCTTCCAGTTAATTATCAAAAGGAAATTGCATTTTCTCATTATATATGAATTCTTACGATTTTTCCTCACCATTACAGAAGATTGTCAAAATAATATTTACAAGCATTTAGAATAGTGCTTGGCATTTACTAGTCAATAATGAAATGGTAGCAATTACTATGTTTGAAATCTACGCACTATTTTTGAAAGGAGACTAAGTCAATAATGGCACAGAAATAGTGGTAAAGCTGTGCGCTTTGGTCAGACAGTGGCCTTGGTGTTCAGGAAACCAAAACTTCCTATCTTCACATCTCTGTTCATTTCAGCTTCACTAGGTGTGACTTTTAAAATAACAAACACACTCCAATAAAAAGAAGGAAGTTTTGTAAAATTTGACCTTTAAACATAACCTAAAGATACAACATTTGTTATTCATTTGTACTCACTTTCTATAATTTTGTCTTAATACGTATTTAATGTACATAAATAAAAAGAAGAAAACACTATTTTTTTATACTGGATGCTTCCAAATGTGTAGTTATGGGTAATGCTATGCAATGACAACATTCCTAAAATTAGCATTTTGTTGCATTACTTGATTAATTTTCATAATAATATTAAATATATATATAAGGTATTGACAGGAATATATATAAATATATACACATATATATGGGTATGTATGTGTGTGTACATATATATGTATGTATATATATATGTATGTATATATATATGTGTATATATATATACACACACACATACCCATGTATACACACACACACACATACCCATAATGACTATTGCTAAGCCTTTTGAGCATTTCCTATGTGCCAAGGACAATGCCAAATGTTTCACATGTTATTTCATTAATCCCCACAACAATTCTCTTCAATAAATACAATAGTGTTCCACATTTCACTAATGGTAAAAACCGAGGCACAGAGAGATTATGTAACCCTCCTAAGGTCATATAGCTAATAAGTATCAGCACTGGTTTTGGGCTCAGGCAATGTGATTTTATAGCTGTGACTATTAATCACCATGCCGTAGAGATTTGTTGTTGAGGGCAGTCTGCTATCCATCACACGTTTTTCGATACAATAGTTGATTTTGGTACATTTTCACCCAAAATCACCTTCTGATTTTAACAAGAGAAAAAATATTTAGAAATACTCAATAGATAAGGTTTCAACAAAGAATAATTTTAATTTATTGTTTCATAGATTATATTTCATACAAAAGTGCTTTTAGTATGAGCATTTGAAATAGGCTTTTGATCAAATTTTAACAAAGTTTTTTCAGCAGCTTCTCTGCTTTTTAAAAAATGTACTCATCGGGAGATATTGTAGATATTGTTCCATTAGTGTAAATGGACATTATGTTCAAGGCACCAAATTCTTCATAAAGAGAATTTGAAGGTGTCTTTTTTTCCCCCTGTGGTGTCAACATCTATAATTTCATTTGTTTATTAAAGATGATTTGACAATGAGAAAAATTCAAACCTGTTAGAGAATTTAGAGCATAGCTGATACATTTCCAAAAGAAAAACACATTTCTGATGTTTGAGGGATTTTGAACAGACATTTATTGCGTCATAAAAAGAAGAGGTAATGAAGTCCTTCTGGAATAAGAATGTAGTTTCCATGTGAAAAAATATATTTTTTTTCCTTAAGAAATTCTGAAAGTAAATTTCATGTAAAAACATTCAGGTAAGTTGCTCATTTTATTTGTTATAATGCTTTCATTTTTTTCATCACTAGATTAGTTCAATGTGTAAAAAAAATGAAAATTACTACAAATTGGAGATTTGCCAAATCCTTACTATACTTTGGGCACTGTTCAAGACACTTTACATGTATTAAATTATTTAATCTTCACAAGAGACCTCTGGGGTCTCCATTTTATAGACAGGAAACTGAGGCACTGAAAGATTAAGAAATGTGCATAGACATGATCTAAGCCAGTGTTATCTGGCTCTAGAGTAGTCGCACTTAACTATTCTGCTAGTTTACCTTAAGAATATTTAATAATACTTTATTTCTTATGTATTTTCAAATTTCCATACTTTTCTCATTTATTTAATATTATTTTGTTGAGAATGAAGCCAATTTTCTCATGATTTTTATAGAAAATATAAAACCCTATTTCAGATATTTGTCTATTATTTCTCAAGAATATCCTACGTTTAAAATTATAACTTTCTTCCCGCAGAGATGTAATTTGTTTTAATTAGGTCATCTAAATGTCAATTATTTATGTTGACTACAGCAATTCCTAATTTTGGGATTTCACAGGCCTTCACTCTTACCTGGCACTCTGGGAATCTTCTCTGTTTTGCATAGTCTTAATTATATTACTTTGTTGAAGAGACACAAGAAAAATGACATTCTTCTGGAGTGACTTTTCAATTAAATCAAAGAGATCTGATAAGATTAAAGAAAATGCTGGCAAAGCACTGAGTGGTGAGAAAGAGAGACTGTCCATGTCAAAAGAGTTACCAGGAACAAAATACAGAATTATATCAGGACACTATTGACTTAGCATAATTAGTAGTTTTTGTTACTAACATGCTAAATGATTTATTAGCTGTCATTAGCTGTCATTAGCACATTAGATGATGTGCTATAATAATTACTCCAAAATACCACATCTTGATTTATGCAGCAGTTTTATTTCCAAGACACTTTAACCTCATTTAGCTTTCATTACATTTTGGTAAAATAATTAAGAACAAGTGTTATAATTCCAAATTTAAAGATGGAAACTGAGTCACACAGATGCTACGTAACCTGAGAAAAATCTCACAGTTACAACAGTGAGTCTCAAGCCTCTAAATTCTCCTCTTATTCTCTGCCTCAAATCATGGTCTCTGCCCAGAGATGGCTTCAGTTTGAGGAGAAGCCAGAGAGAAACTAGAAAATTATATTATTTGTTTTATCTGAACACTGGGAAATATAACATCTTCTGTTTAAAAATAGAGTTGGTATGGATAAAAAAGAGCATAAAAGGGTTTAGTTGCAAAGACTGTTTTTTTTTCTTAACTGTGTGGTAATAAACACACAAATGCAACCATACTTTAAGGAATCTTGTTATATAAACAGGAGATTATAAGTCACAAAACGATTGTCAAGGTTTCTGACTGTTACTAAAATAATATAAACTGTAAGAAGGACTATTGTGGTTTCTCTAGGTGATATGTGGCCTATGAGGAAAACAAAGGCCATGGAATACAGAATTGCTCACCAAATTTATGGCCTGATGTCTGTGATGCTGTGTGGTAGGTTGAAGAATTATGTTAGTACTACATCTGCTCCTAGGAAGTCATCTGTGAAAGCTTCCTAATTTTTTAAATACCTATGTGTTGTATGAATCACAATGAAATGAATCCCCGTTTGCTAACTCTAGCTATTTTGTATTTGGAGTGAGCACTTACATCACTAAACTGAATGCTCTGGGCTAAAAAGTCTACATGTTAATTTCTTTACATGCTTTCACAAAATATAGATGATGCGATTGGTGGGAATTAAAATTGGGCCTGAGTTTCATAAATATTAGTGAAATCTGATTAGATGTAACATGAATCATAGGACCCAGATATTAGCCTGACTTTAATCTCTGCTGTATGTGGATAGTGGTAAAAGTTATTAAATGAAAGTATGCCCACCAAAGAAAAGCTATTAAGCAATCTATAAACTTTCATACTATGTCCTGTAAAACTAAACCCAAATCAGTTTGGGAAATTAGGAAAGCAATTAAATGGCTACTTTTCCCATCTCTTTGCTTTCTGATGAAACATGAAATGAAACATACTTATCATTTTCTTATGTTATCTATGTATTAAGTTTAAATTCTGTATGAAAATTGAGCAAAGTCTGGCCTAGTAGACTATAATGATTTTTTTCTCAGGATATTAATTACAGTGAAAATATTGCTTTCTGGATTTCTTGACCATATTCTTTATTATTCTTATGATTTGATAACTACTCTAAGGATATTGGCTAGTCAATATCTGGATTCCAATCATTCAGGAAGGAGAGCAGTATTTTAGGCTTATAGAGAATTCGGCCTGACAATAGCCTTATGGTAATATTTCCAGCAGCTGCCAGGTTGTTGAATATGTTGTCAGTCCAATCTTATTTAATTTCGTTTCTATCTAGCTATACTTAAGAAGACAACATGGGACTAGAATGTTGGCAACAATGCATGTTCAGACAAGTCCACAACACCATGACTTTAAAGTACATTAAGCACCATAAAAATTAAGCATATAGGAGTGATATGTGGGGGGAGTGACATTGGTATACACAAAATAAAGGCACTTCTGTAGTTTTGGAGACACCTAGAAGCTTATGATAAAGCCTTTTGAATCTTGTAGTCTAGGGAAACCCTATCTCGAGCCTAAGATTTTCATAAGAAATCCAGATCAGCAAGCTGTTAGTGAACTAACCCTCCTGATAGTCCACTGCCAGTGATGCAGTGGAGAGCACAGATGTCAAGGAACACATGAGCACACTAAAAAGAGTCGTGCACCCTTAGAGAGGGAAATCAAATATGGCACCACACTGGCATCAAGCTCCAAGCCAGAAAGGTTGCCTATATAGTAACGAAATAAGTCTTTTACTTTTCCTAAGGTTATAGATGATCAGGATTGCAGGAGAATTTAAATATCAAATGCCTGTTATATAGACAGTGGTCTCCAACATGGCCCTATATATAGTCCTAATAGGATACAAGGGCTAATCCTGACAAGGCCAGCTATAATGAACAGATAAATGCTTAGTCTTGATTTAAAGCGACCACTCTTCTTTATATTTCAAAAGTGCTGATAATTTAGGCAATTTAAAAAATATATTTATTTGAATTTACAAGAAAAGCCACATGCAGTCATAATTAGAGGCTTTACTTATATGTATATATTCTTCAAATAATATAAAGAACTATCTTTCCTTCCACTGTGACCTCATAACACTTCCACTTAAGAAGTAATTTAATAAACTTCCTAGATATCCAGTCTTGTCAGCTTCTCCTAAGTAAAAGTCTGATGATAAAAATATATATATTGTCTCTTATGTTTGCTAGTTTTTACCTCTCAATTAGTTACTCCAATCACTTTGTGACTTTGCTGAACTGGATTCACCTTGGTTTATGCTTTACTACTTTGTCATGCATACGAAATTAAGGAGTAAACAAACACTGTATGCTTAGTACACAGAGACTGACCACATAAAACTTCTAAGTTGTTAGTTAATTATTCATTTGTGTGTTTCTAAAACAGTGGGGTAAGTTAAAGCAATAGGAACACACAACATAGGATCATAATGAAATGCTTTCTTTAAGTTAAAAACAACAGAATAGTGAAAAGATAAACTTTCATTCATTTTTAACACAACAGCAGAATACAAAACAGCTTTCATTCTTCCACATATTTCATTTGTCACGAAAGGGCAGAAGCCAAACTTATTAACGGTTTGAATAGACATGACATTGAGACATCACTATGTCTCCTTAGGATTTTGGTTTATCTCATCATATTATTGTATTCTAACTCAATATATTTATTATAAAAACATTTTTCCTTAAAAATAAACACATTAGCACTTAGTTCTTGGTTGTGAAATCATTGGTATCTAATTAATTGTGTAAAAATTACAAAGCATAAATATGCAAAATAAAAACCAAGAAAATTCTTCAAATGCACAGCACCCAGAAATATCATTGTCAGCATTTTGTCCATATTTTCATGAATATTTATCTCCATTTTTTATGAAATGGGTCTAATATAATATATGGTGTTCTGTGTTCTCTTTCCTAACAACACTATATTATGAAAAATACTGACACTAAACATAGCTCAGCATCATCATGTTAATGTCTGTCTAGCCATTCACTTTAAGTATATGCTATAATTTATGTATCCAATCTTCTGTTGTTCAACACTTAAGCTGTTTTCAGGATTTGTTTTTGTTTAGATAATATAGCTGTAGCCAGCTGTAACTTTTTTGTTTTGACAGTGTGCATACTTAGACACATAATCAAATAATTTCTTAATCTAAAATTCCTGGAAGTGGGGTTGTGAATGGAGATGTGAAAAATGAGTGAAATGTAAGGCTTTTGATGCAACTGTCAAACTATATTTGACACAGATTAAATCAGTTTATATTCCCACACGCAGTTTATGTTTCTGAAAACATGGACTACTAGGCAAGGATGAACTGTTCCATTAATCTAAAAAAGTTCTGGATAATCTATAGCAATATGTAATCCATGGATTATGTGGTAAGAAATGAAAGATGTCTCTAAGTGTCAAAACCAAAGTAGGAACTGGGCACCAGGGGCGTAGCGAGTAAGATGATGGCTGGGAGTTATAAGGAGACAGCAGTCCAATAATGACTCACTTTTGCATTTGTTTTTACATTTGTTATTGAAGCATGAGTTACACAGTATAAAGTGAAGAAATTGCATTTATGGAGATCAGTGCATTTTTACAAATAGGACATACCTGTATACCCACCGTCTAGATCAAATTATAAAATGTATGAGCATCCCAGCTTTCCTTATGCTCTCTTGCAGGCTTTATTTTTTTTTTTTTCAGATGGAAAGCACGTCCTTCACCATAAGTTGCTTTTGTCTGTTTTTCAACATTAGGTAAGTGAAATATGCAGTGTATATATGTCCACTTTCTTTCACTGAACCATTTATAAAATGTGTGCATGTTATTAAACATACAAGTTGTTATTTTTCATTGCTATATAGTGTTATTTTGGATGAATATACCACAATTAATTTATTGTTAGTAAGAATTTGGTAGATTTCTAGTTTGAGAATATTAGCAATAATTCTGAAATTTTTTTATGTCTTTTGGTCAAAATATATTGAGAATATACCTAGGAGCAGAATTGCTAAGACGTAGAATGTATATGTGTTCCAATATAGTAGATATTGCCAGTTTTCTAAAGGGGTTGTACCAGTTTATATCCCCACCAAAAACATACAAAAATGTTGATTGTTCCATACTTTGTCATATCATATTAGATAATGTTTTAAAGTTTAGCTATCCTAAAGTCATATTTCCTTATGGTATTGATTTGCATTTTTACAAATCTATGATGAAATAGAGTACCTTTTCATATGCTTATGATCCATTTGAATATCCTCTTTCATGAAGTGTTTAATATTTCATCTGTTTTACTAAATGTGTGGTCTTTCTTTTTCTTATATATCTGTATGTATTTTAACATATACATGATAAACACATATTGTAAAACCTTATTTTATTTTACAGATTGCATTTTACTTTTTAATTTTGATGAAATTCAGTTTATACATTTTTCCTTTACAGTCACGTTTTTGTGTCTTATTTAAAAAAACCTTTGCTTACCACATGATTTCTTCTAGAAGTTTTATTATTTTACCTTTTATATTTCTATTTATAATTCATTGTTTTTATGAATGCTATGAGGTAGTGTCAGGATACATTTTTTTTTCCACATAGATAATCAGAGATTTTGGTTCTGGCCATGATAAAATATTACATATGGGACTTATATTACTGCAACAAATCCTAAAACTGGATAAAACACAAAAAGTATCAGTTTTTAGGCATTAGACAATAGCTGGCTCAGAGCTCTTATCCTTGAGAGAAAGAAACATTCAAGAGAAACTCTATAATTACTCTCATTTCATTTGAGGGGTATTTTCAAACTGTGGTACAGAGAAGTTTGAAAATACCCAAACAGGCAAATGTGATCATTCTAAGGAGCCTGAGATTTACGGGACAGCATGCCAGAGTGAAGGCATCATTTCTTTGAGCTTTTGGCTAAACACTAAGCCACACATGTTCAGGATGAGTTTCCATGAAATTTTGCAGAGTGGTGAAGTAAGGCTGTGACAAGTAGGAGTCACAATCAGCTGTACTAGAGGTTCACTGAAGGCTCCAGGCATTAAGAAGATATGTCAAAATTTTCCTGTTTTAGGAGCAGGGCTACTGTGGCTTTAGAGTAAGGGCTACTCTCTATGAGTAGTTCTCAACTTGTGCAATTTTTCCCTGGAGAGGAAATTTGAAAATGTATGGAGACATCTTTATTTGTCACAATTATGGGGAAAGCATTACTGGCATCAAGTGGGTAGAATTCACAGAAACTTCTAATTATCCTGCAACACACAGGAAATTCATCAAAACAATGTATCAAAACAATTTGATACAACATGTCAATACTCCCTGACACAGATATAGTCTAACAAAGCCTAAAATTGAATCTCCAAAAAATAGTCACCAATCAATCAACTGCCTATCAAAACAAATCACCACTTAAAGGAACGTAATTTAATCCAGATTCTAAACAAGGTAGCAATCTCTGGTAGAATTCGGCTGTGAATCGATCTGGTCCTGGACTCTTTTTGGTTGGTAGACTATTAATTATTGCCTCAATTTCAGAGCCTGTTAATGGTCTACTCAGCGATTCCACTTCTTCCTGGTTTAGTCTTGGGATGGTGTATGTGTCCAGAAATGTATCCATTTCTTCTAGATTTTCTAGTTTATTTGCACAGAGGTGTTTATAGTATTCTCTAATGATAGTTTGTGTTTCTGTGGGATCGGTGGTGATATCCCCTTTATCATTTTTTATTGCATCTATTTGATTCTTCTCTCTTTTCTTTATTAGTCTTGCTAGCAGTCTATCAATTTTGTTGATCTTTTCAAAAAACCAGCTCCTGGATTCATTGATTTTTTGAAGGGTTTTTTGTATCTCTATCTCCTTCAGTTCTGCTCCGATCTTAGTTATTTCTTGCCCTTCTGCTAGCTTTTGAATGTGTTTGTTCTTGCTTCTCTACTTCTTTTAATTGTGATGTTAGGGTGTCAATTTTGGATCTTTCCTGCTTTCTCTTGTGGGCATTTAGTGCTATAAATTTCTGTCTATACACTGCTTTAAATGTGTCCCAGAGATTCTGGTATGTTGTGTCTTTGTTCTCATTGGCTTCAAAGAACATCTTTATTTCTGCCTTAATTTCGTTATGTACCCAGTAGTCATTCAGGAGCAGGTTGTTCAGTTTCCATGTAGTTGAGCAGTTTTGAGTGAGTTTCTTAATTCTGAGTTCTAGTTTGATTGCACTGTGGTCTGAGAGACAGTTTGTTATAATTTCTGTTCTTTTACATTTGCCGAAGAGTGCTTTACTTCCAACTATGTGGTCAATTTTGGAATATGTGTGACGTGGTGCTGAGAAGAATGTATATTCTGTTAATTTGGGATGGAGAGTTCTGTAGATGTCTGTTAGGTCCCCTTGGTGCAGAGCTGAGTTCAATTCCTGGATATCCTTGTTAACTTTCTGTCTCATTGATCTGTCTAATGTTGACAGTGGGGTGTCAAAGTCTCCCATTATTATTGGGTGGGAGTCTAAGTCTCTTTGTAGGTCTCTAAGGACTTGCTTTATGAATCTGGGTGCTCCTGTATTGAGTGCATATATATTTAGGATAGTTAGCTCTTCTTGTTGAATTGATCCCTTTACCATTATGTAATGGCCTTCTTTGTCTCTTTTGATCTTTCTTGGCTTAAAGTCTGTTTTATCAGAGACTAGTATTGCAACCCCTGCTTTTTTGTAGTTTTGCATTTGCTTGGTAGATCTTCCTCCATCCCTTTATTTTGAGTCTATGTGTGTCTTTGCACAAGAGATGGGTCTCCTGAATACAGCACACAGATGGGTCTTGACTCTTTATCCAATTTGCCAGTCTGTGTCTTTTAATTGGAGCATTTAGCCCATTTACATTTAAAGCTAATATTGTTATGTGCGAATTTGATCCTGTCATTATGATGTTAGCTGGTTATTTTGCTTGTTAGATGATGCAGTTTCTTCCTAGTGTCGATGATCTTTACAATTTGGCATGTTTTTGCAGTGGCTGGTACCAGTTGTTCCTTTCCATGTTTAGTGCTTCCTTCAGGAGCTCTTGTAAGGCAGGCCTGGTGGTGACAAAAATCTCTCAGCATTTGCTTGTCTGTAAAGGATTTCATTTCTCCTTCACTTATGAAGCTTAGTTTGGCTGGATATGAAATTCCGGGTTGAAAATTCTTCTCTTTAAGAATGTTGAATATTGGCCCCCACTCTCTTCTGGCTTGTAGAGTTTCTGTCAAGAGATCTGCTGTTAGTCTGATGGGCTTCCCTTTGTGGGTAACCCGACCTTTCTCTCTGGCTGCCCTTAACATTTTTTCCTTCATTTCAACCTTGGAGAATCTGATGATTATGTGTCTTGGGGTTACTCTTCTTGAGGAGTATCTTAGTGCTGTTCTCTGTATTTCCTGAATTTGAATGTTGGCTTGCCTTGCTAGATTGGGGAAGTTCTCCTTGATAATATCCTGAAGAGTGTTTTCCACTTGGTTCCATTCTCCTCGTCACTTTCAGGTACACCAATCAGACGTAGATTTGGTCTTTTCACATAGTCCCATATTTCTTGGAGGCTTTGTTCATTTCTTTTTACTCTTTTTTCTCTAAACTTCTCTTCTCACCTCATTTCATTCATTTGATCTTCAATCACTGATACCCTTTCTTCCAATTGGTCGAATTGGCTACTGAAGCTTGTGCATGCGTCACATAGTTCTCATGCCATGGTTTTCAGCGCCATCAGGTCATTTAAGGTCTTCTCTAGGCTGTTTATACTAGTTAGCCATTTGTCTAATCTTTTTTCAAGGTTTTTAGCTTCTTTGCGATGGGTTTGAACATCCTCCTTTAGCTCAGAGAAGTTTGTTATTACCGATCGTCTGAAGCCTTCTTCTCTCAACTCACCAAAGTCATTCTCCTTCCATCTTTGTTCCGTTGCTGGCGAGGAGCTGCATTCCTTTGGAGGAGAAAAGGCGCTCTGATTTTTAGAATTTTCAGCTTTTCTGCTCTGGTTTCTCTCCATCTTTGTGGTTTTACCTACCTTTGGTCTTTGATGATGGTGACGTAGAGGTGGGGTTTTGGTGTGGATGTCCTTTCTTTTGTTAGTTTTCCTTCTAACAGTCAGGACCCTCAGCTGCAGATCTGTTGGAGTTTGCTGGAGGTCCACTCCAGACCCTAGTTGACTGGATATCACCAGTGGAGGCTGCAGAGCAGTAAATAAAGAGAATTGCAGAACGGCAAATCCAGAACACAATAATGACTTATTAACATATGAAGAAGAAAAGACACTTCAGCAATAAACAAGAGGGAAAAAAAAAAGCTGATAAAATTAGACCCTGAGATAAAACAACAGAAAGAGGCATAGACAAAAAGTCAACATAATGAGCTATCTATTTAATATCTATGTAGTGCTTGAGTACTATTTATTGAAAATTTATATTGTTCAGGCAACTGTATATATGTTTTATTTATTGTATTTATAATTGGTTTATTTGAATACTCTTGTGTGAATGCCACACTATTTTAATTTGTATAGTTTTACAATTAGTCAATATCTGCAAGTATATTACCTTTGAATTAAGCCTATTAATAAGTTTATATATTAAATCTTTAAACTATGATCATAATATAGCCACTTATTTATCCACTCTTTATTTTTTATTATTATTGTTTTCTCTTTTCTGTGTAGAGGTCTTATATATAGTAACTTTTAAATGTTTGATTTTTTAATTGTCTATATATAAAATACAAAAGATAAAATGGAAATTTCTATGTTGATATTATATAAAAGTTTCCTAAAGTTTTAAAAAAAATCTACTAGTTTATGTTTGTAATTTAGAACTATATATTCTAAATACCTACAAAATTTGACAATAATGGCTTT
The DNA here is from genome assembly GCF_000001405.40 of Homo sapiens. NCBI lineage: Eukaryota > Metazoa > Chordata > Mammalia > Primates > Hominidae > Homo > Homo sapiens. Next base: position 91,470,954 of record NC_000006.12, read on the forward strand.
AGTTCTACTTTTGCAATTCCTAAAACTTTCATTTACTTTTTATTCCTTATTGCACTGTCTAGGACCTCCAGTGTAGTGTTGAATAAAAGTAAGAATAGTCGTTATTGTCTTAATCCATAAATGCCTAGGAAAACCTTTCAACATTTCACCACTAAGTGCAATGCTTGAATATGTGTGTGTGTATTTTATATATATATGTATTATATATAATATATGTATTATATATTATATATGTATTATATATAATATATGTATTATATATTATATATGTATTATATATAATATATGTATTATATATTATATATGTATTATATATAATATATGTATTATATATTATATATGTATTATATATAATATATGTATTATATATTATATATGTATTATATATAATATATGTATTATATATTATATATGTATTATATATAATATATGTATTATATATTATATATGTATTATATATAATATATGTATTATATATTATATATGTATTATATATAATATATGTATTATATATTATATATGTATTATATATTATATATGTATTATATATAATATATGTATTATATATTATATATGTATTATATATTATATATGTATTATATATAATATATGTATTATATATTATATATGTATTATATATAATATATGTATTATATATCACATATGTATTATATATTACATATGTATTATGTATATAATATATGTATTATGTATATAATATATGTATTATATATAATATATTATATATGTAACATATATGTATTATATATATAATATATTGTATATGTAATATATATGTATTGTATATATAATATATTATATATGTAATATATATGTATTGTATATATAATATATTATATATGTAATATATATGTATTGTATATATAATACACACATATATTTAGTAGCTGCTTTTATTAGATTTATTAGATTGAGGAATATTACTCCTGTCTTTAATTTATGAATGATTTTATAATGAGTAGATGTTAGATATTACCAAATTTTTCTGTACCCAATGAGATAACAATATGATTTTTCACCTTTATTTGGTTAGTGCAGTTAATTACATTGACTAACTTATAAATATTAAAGTACCCTTACATTCCTGAATAAAACAAACTTCCTAGTACTCCTCTATAAGTTTTATATATCTCTAGTCAAAATTTGTTGTTATTTTAAGATTTTGCATCTACATTTCTGTGAGGTATTGAATTTTCACTATCCTTTGTTATAATGTCCTCATTAGGTTTTGTTTTGTCTTGTTATTTATTTATTTATTGACTTTTTTGGGGTGGGGGGTGGGGATGGAGTCTCGCTCTCACTCTTGTCGCTCAGGCTGGGGTATAATGGCGCGGTCTCAGCTCATTGCAACCTCCGCCTCCTGGGTTCAAGTGATTCTCCTGCCATGTCCTCCTGAGTAGCTGGGATTACAGGCACATGCCACCTCACCTGGCTAATTTTTGTATTTTTAGTAGAGACGGGGTTTCACCATGTTGGCCAGGCTGGTCTCAAACTCCTGACCTCAGATGATCTGCCTGCCTAGGCCTCCCAAAGTACTGAGATTACAGGCATGAACTGCCTCCCCTGGCTGTCCTTACCAAGTTTTATTATTAAGCATATTAAGATCATGTTTTTATTTTTCTATTCCCTGGTAGTGTTTTCCTAAAATGAATATTATTCTTAAATGTTTAAACAATTTTACCCATAAAGCCATATGGTCAGGAGTTTACTTTTAAGAAAGCTTTAAATTATAAATTCAGTATCTTAATAGACATTGGATAATCAGATTTTATATTCTCCTCGTGTTTATTTTCTTAGTTGTTTTTAAAGAACATGTCTATTTTCAAACATATCGACATAAAGTTGTTAATAATAATCTCTTGCTATCTTTGTAACGGTTGCCACTTAGTAATGTCTTCTTTTTTATTCCCGATGGTGTTAATTTGTGCCATGCCTATTTTTTTTAAACTCATTTTTGGAAGTATCTTAAGTTGGATCCTTTAGAAACAGGTGTTGAGACAAATATTCAAGTGCAGGTGATTTTTAAGGGGAATCCTTTGGAGGATGAGAAAATAGGACAGGGAAGGGGTAAATTTAAGTGAGAAAGAGCTTCAAGTGGAATTCAGCATCAGCCTGATCATGTGAGAAGCTCTTGAGCATAAATGTAGAAACAGAGCACAGTTGTGCCTGTCCCTTGGGGGATTGGTTCCAGGATCCCTTCCTAAATCAAAATCTGTGCACACTCAAGTACTGCAGTGGGCTCAGTGGAACACACCTATAAGAAAATTTGACCCAGTGCAAGTGCATGTTTTGCATCTCACGAGAGCTGTTTTTTCAGTGTGCATTTGGTTGGAAAAAATCCACATATAAGTGTACCTGCACAGTTGAAACCTGTGGTTTTCAAGGGTCAACTGTATATCCATCGCACACCACACACACTTTGAGGCAAGAGTAGCAGAGCTTTTGTGGAGCTTCTGTACCTCCTTCCAACAGCCAGTTATTGGCTATAATCTCCCCTGGGGGGAGAATGGATATAATTTCAGGCACTTTTGGAGAAGCAAGAACTCTCCAGCGAAGTTTGCAGGTGTGAGCTGTTAGCAGCAGCACTCATAGAAGCTGGAGAATGGAGAACATCAGCCTAGTTAAAGGAATCCAACTGTGTATGGGTAAACCATCAGTAGTATCTTCTATAGCCTATGCCTTGCATTACTGAGATGCACTTGTTTTTCATATTCACTCCATCCTGTTGCAGCTTTTCCAGGATTCCTGTTAGCTAACATTTCTGGGAAAACTTACAAGAGCAACGTTGACAGGAAAAACAACAGCCTCCCTTTCTGCATTTGGTCCCAGGGTCATTATTGATACATGTCATGTCCTTTGTTACCACCCATTTTAGACTGTTTTTACACTCAGCCACATCTACTGGTCTGGGTGGCTTGCCTCATGGGATAATCCACTTGGGCATCCAGATGGAACCTCTAAAAACAAAGTAAACTTTTCAAAAAGTTAAAATTATGCCTATCATCCAGACTTAAAGTGAATACATATTAAATATTTATGTTTCTTAATGTAAAGAATGCTAAAGCTAGTTTTAATCTTATCTTTTTAGATCACAAATCCTCTATTCCTCTATAATCTGCTGTTCAGTCTATCCATTTTGTCTTGCTTTCAGTTGGTTATACTTCAGTTTTAGATTTTCCCTCTGATATATTTGTTAATGCATTTTAATATTTGGCAAAATTCTCTATATTTTTTCTTTTTTTCTGATTATAATATTTTCTAACTTCCTGTATGATAACTTAAATATCTGGATAACCTATGGATATATTTAAAAACTTTTTTTCTCTTGGCTTTTAGTAATTTTCTTCTGTTTCCTAACACAGATAGACGGTTTTTAATGATTGCTGGATACTGAGTATGCAAAATTGAGAGGCTCTGTGTGATGTTATATTCCTGCAGAGATAATTCAACCTTATTTTGGAAGGCAAATAAAATATGAACAGATCACCTTAATCTGCCCATTTTAGAAATCTCAGCTGGAAACCTACAGTATTTACTATGGTGCTTCTTTTTGATGAGTCTTGAACTCAAATTTTGGTTTCTCTAGCTCCATGAAAATGCCGGAAATCCTCTTGGCTTTTTTATTCTCTTAGCAGCTACTTTTTTTCTTTATTTTTCAGAGCCTTGCCTAAAATACACCTTGCTTAGAAATCATCAAATGCCTCAAGTGGAAAATAAGAGCTAAACATTGGACTCACTTTTGTGTGAGTGCCTTTTCTTTGGCATGGTGCCTTTCCAAGTCTTGAAGGGTTGGGTTAGCACCAAATTCATATTTGTCTCTGCAATTCAGTGATACTCTCACAAGCTCTAAGCTGAGGCTTCATATTGCCTCATGTCTCTACCTCAAATTGTCAAATGTCTTGAAATGACCTTGAATGTAAGACTATCTCAGGGCGTTTTACTTTTCTCCAGTATCTTGGCACTTTGAGTTCTGCCTGCCTTAATTGCTTTTCAAAGCGTTCAAACAATTGTGCCCCTGCTCCCTCTTTCTCTAGCTTTGTCTCTATCTCTATCTCTCTCTTTTCTCTCTTCCTCATTATTTGGCTCTCATATTTACTGAGAAAGTTGTTCTGGTTGTTCTGATACGAGACACTCAATCATAGTAAGAAGTTGAATTTTCTTCTGGTCTTTAAAGCCCACATAAGAATGGGAAAAAAAACTGCAGGGTTTTGCAAGGCAGAGCAATAAAACTAAGAGTTTCTCATCAATCAGGACCGTGGAACGACCACAACTCCAAAACGTGTTTAAGAAAATATAGAATCCTTACTCTGTCATGCTTTGGATGGCAATACATTTCTGTGAGAAATCTGTGCCTGAAATTGTATCTTTCCTGAATTCGTTGTGACAATATTAACTAAATGATATATCAAACCTCTAGCTTAGAAATGACATTGAAAGTGGGCTTGAGCTAATAATACTCCATGATGGTATATAAAGGCAAATGCAAAACTGTTATAAAAATACCTCCGTGGCAGGAGAATGGCGTGAACCCGGGATGCGGAGCTTGCAGTGAGCCGAGATCGCGCCACTGCACTCCAGCCTGGGTGACAGAGAGAGACTCCATCTCAAAAAATAAATTAATTAATTAATTAAATTAAATTAAATAATGCTTCAGCAAGGCTGGGCGTAGTGGCTCATCCTTGTAATTCCAGTACTTCAGAAGGCCAAGGCGGGAGGATCATTTGAAGCCAGGAGTTTGAAAACAGCCTAGGCAACATAGCAAGACCCCGTCTCTACCCACTAACCCCTGCCCCCCACAAAAAAATTATCTGGGCATGATGGCACATATTAGGTACTCAGGAGGCTGAGGTGGGAGGATTGCTTGATTTAACAGCAAGTAGGCTTTCAAAAAGGTTATTAGATAGGTAAAAAAAAAAAATTGTTGGATCATTTGAGCGCAGTTAAATGCCAAATGCTCCTGGTTTGCACAGCAGCACTTTGTGCTGTAGGAATTCAGTGTTAGAGTAAAGCCCCCGCCACCTGTTCCACTGTCACTTCTGCACTGCAAACTTGATTTTGCAGAGATTATAATCACTGCATTACACAGAAAAAGTGCTCCGCTGCCCTGGCTGCTTGCTTGTTTTTAGCTGACTCATCCAATCTGGCAGAGGGTACGTTTGATTGAAGGAGCCTAAGTCACATGGCCCTTCTGAAGTGGCCTAGAGCTGGAAAAGTGAACATCACATTTTTAGCTTTCACTTTAAGGGTGAGCTGTGCCTCCTGTTAGGATTTCTACTAGGGAGGAAGTTCAGGTGTTAGTTGGCCAAAAGAATGGCAAATATCCATGACTAACAGGAAGAAGAAAGACTGACCATTGTCACCCACTACTTCTCCTCTACAATTACCAGATGGACACAGTGAGATCAGGAAAAGAAATAAGAACTCAATGAATTGGAAAGAAGAAAGAAAACCCTCCTTTTTTCACAGATGGTATGACTAACCACATAGAAAATCTAAACAAATCTATAGATAGCCTTATGAATTAATAAAGTTTGAAGCTTTGCTGCAAACAAATCAGCATATGAAAATCAATGTTTTGTCTACATCCAGCAATAGCACATTGTAAAATTTCAATATATGTGCATTTTATAATAGCAACAAAAACAATTAAGTACTCAAGAAAATATTCCATAAATGTTGTTTAAAAACTTTGAAATGTAACATTACTTCAGGGCCCAACAGATCTATAAAATGAGGAGATATTTATTGATCTTATTTAAGCAGAATAAATACTGTAAAGATAACAATTCTCAAATAAATCAATAATTCAGTGTAATTCCACTTAGAATGCTTAATACAATTTTTAAACAATGCAAACTCATCAAACTGAGATAAAACTCAAAAGAGAGTAAAGAACCAAAAGATGATAGAAAAACAAAATTAAATTGTTTGGTGATTTCATCTGAAGAGTTGTGTTTCTGCTCATGCTTGTTAAGCATGTAATGATATGCCATTAAGAATAAAAGTTGCTATAGGCTTTTGATTAGCTATTTCAGATTAAGGAAATTCCATTCTATTTCTAGTTTGCTGTTTTTTAAATCATAAAAGGGTGTTAAATTTTATCAAAATGTTGGGCATTTATTGAGATGAATATAAGCTTTTAATTTTTCTCCTTTAATAACATGGTGAATAAATTACATGTTAACCTTTCTTCCATTCTTTTAACAAACTCAGTCTTATTGTGATTTCAAAAATAATTGATCGATCCAGCTTACTAATTTTATTATAGGATTGTTGCATCTAGTTTGGGATGTGAGATTTGCCAACTTTTTTTTTCTTGTATGTTATTTACCTATTTTGGGGGAACTTTCCTCCTTTTTGGTTCTTTGGAATGGAGTTTATCAAGTAGGAATAATTTGGTGGTTGAAAGATTGGTATCTTTTAAATGTTCTGGACCGTATTTATTGATGTTGTTTTGTGGGTAGAGTTTTAAGTGCTTCTTCAGACTCTAATTCCTGGGCCCTGGAGATACTGCCTCCTGTGCAGCCCTCTGATGCCATTCTAGGACCACCTCCACACTTTCAAACCTAAAATAACCCCACTGTGCTGCCTGGAAAGCAGTCAGTAATTAGGCAGTACTTCAACTCTCATTCCTGATTTTAAACAATATCTCAACCCTTGGGTATGTAATTGCACACTATCCTTTCTAGTTGTACCAACTTTTAGATCATTTCTTCATTTCATTTGCGGATTTAACTCCTGGCTCACTATCAGTATCTCCAACATGACCCTCATGTTATTTTGGGGAGATTTCATTATTTAAGTAGATAATCTTTCAATACAATGGCTGTTCGATTCAACCGCTGCTTTCCAATGATCACGTCCCCCACCCTACTTAAGCCATCCATTTCCATTGTCCTACACCAGTCCCTTTCACGACTAGTAACGGCAACATGTACATAATCTTATTTCAAGTCTCCCACTCTCCCATAACTGTGTCCTGTGTTTTCAATTTTTTATAACAATTCTATCCAACTCTAATACTTTTTAACTGTTCTTTAGATCTCCTCCTTCATTCTTTCTTTAATCTAAATTTCAGCCAATCTTTATAACTACATTCTCAATATGGGGTTTGCAGAGGGGTTAATTCTCAGACCGGCAACCCTCAACCATCAGGGAATGGGATACCCTAGCTTGGGATAATTCTGATGTCTGCTCTCCCTGGATCTTCAGAGTCCCCAGAGGATGTGAGATAGCATTAACACTTTTTTAAAAAATTTAAAAATTTTTAAATATTAAATTAAAAAAATTAGGCACCAAACATGAAGTCAGCTTTAAATACATGACATATCTGGGGAGTACAAAGTCAATTTAATGAATGCCCATAAGGAAAGAACTTTTCTGCCTTTACCTTTCTTCCTTCCCTATTTGTGCCTGATGGAATGTGATTAAATACCATGTGCATTTGATAGATGCAGCTTACTAATATTATTATAGGATTGTTGCAGCTAGTTTGGGATGTGAGATTTGGCAACTTTTTTTTTCTTGTATGTTATTTACCTATTTTGGGAGAACTTTCCTCCTTTTTGGTTCTTTGGAATGGAGTTTATCAAGTAAGAGTCATTTGGTTGTTGCCAAATACGATGTGATTGGGAAGATAGGAGAGGGATATAAGCACAAGGCAGGGGAGGAGAGAAGGACCACAATCCTTGTCCCTGGCCTACTGCTTGATACAGGTCCAGTAACATAGAAAAAGATTTAACATCACAATGAGTTTGGAATTTTTATTTATTTTAGGACTAGATATTTTAAATAACTGAATTGAGATTTAATTGTGATTAAACCATAGGATTTCTTGTTGCCTAAGACTGATCAAACAAGTTATGGGATTATGGGAATTTTTATCAGGGATCAAGGAAGAAACTTCCCCCACTAAACACATTTTAAAGAGCTGTTTAGAGAAAAGAAGCATTATTTTACTCTATACCCAGGAGTCTTGCTTGTTTAATATATCTGTAACACATATATTGTGCATGTTTGCAAGAATGTGGTTCAGGTTTCTTCCCCTGTGGATTGATACAAACTCTTCAACAAGAGTGACTAAAGGGAAAAATACTCTTTCTCTGTTCTGGATAATATTTTTATCTATTTTCTTTTGGTCTTCATTGGCTGATCCTCTGCCCTAAATGGTAGAGCATTATTAAGGTCAAAGAAATGGAATAATATAGAGTTTGCTTTGTAGTTCTTTCCATGTGGTCCAATTGCCTAATCAACTTTTCTGTCCTGCATTTACTTTAGTTACTCCTACTAGGACCTGAGCACGGAGTTTTCAGAAGGGCCCTAGGCCCTGTCAGAGGGTTAAGAGGGACGTGCTCTCAAACTCCTTATTTCTTCCTAGGAGTGTATGTTTTTGGTGAGCAAAGCAACTGCTGAGCAGGAGAATAGGATGATAATGGTCCCCAGTATAATAAAGCGGAAGGGATGTTGAAAAGAGGAATATGATAGTGTGGTATCACATTGCATCCTAACTGCTGAATTGTTCAATGGGCTTTTGCAAAGTTAAGTACCATTCTGAAAGATAGGATCTGTACAGTTTTCTTAAACTGCCATGAGTGAGCTATGAGCCTAAGGTATAGTCCTCATCCCATGGAAGAGGTGAACAAGGGCCTCATTTTTAGTAGCATAAATTCCAAGAATCTGCCAAGGCCGTAGGAAACAGTTAAAAGAGAAAGACAGGAAGTGGCAAGGAAATTGATACTAATCAGAAATTTCCGAGGCCTCTCATATGGAATACGCTGACCCTCAAAGTTTCTTTTTGGCAAGAAGAGACCATAGAGTTTCTATACCTGAATACTTAACCTAAGTATGGGTGGGTTGAAGTAGAGTTGAAGAGATGTGGACTCTTTGTGAGACCTGTAGCCAAATACAGTTTTCAAACTTGATTTGTCAGTGGCAGGTGTGGCCACACAAATAAAATCTGCTTTTAAGTTTAATTATATCAGTACAATCTCAAGTACCATGTTTACATATTCAAGACTGATAGTTGATGGATTTTTCCTATATTAACCATTTAAGTAAGATAATTATTTGCCATTCTGTGACATTTAATTACAATGCTATGACTAATTTATATAGTTGGAAGAAAAAATTGCTTTATATGTCATTTAAGATTTGTATGAACACATTTAAACTGCAGAAAAGATTGCTTAGAAAAATGCAGAGCTGGCTCCCAAGAGCTCTTGATTACCTTCTGTATCAAGACCATTTTTTTAAAATTGGCTGTACTATCACAGCATAATTTCAAGGTGACCACCTGTCAAAGAGCTTCTGCGGGAAAAAGGCAAAATGTCTCCCTGTCTTATTTGTACATTTATTTTTATAAACATTTCTAATTTTCCAGAGGGTATTATAGGCTAAAATTTAATGGGATGGTAATAGTTAGCAATGAGTAAATAACATGAATTCTCAGTTGATGTAAATTTCATGCCAGGTTTGAATGATGAAGGTAAAAGCTAGCATGGAGACTAGAAACACATTTAATAGCAGATGTTCAGTTGTGCAGGAGAGATCTACATAAATAACAAAGTTTGCCCTACTTGTGTTGAGAGCATTCAATTTCTTTTTTTTCCCAGGAAGTGAATTGTACTTTGGACTGAGCCGAGTCATAATTAAGCTGTACTAAGAAAACATTCAAGTAACAATGATTTGCAAATGATCAAATTATTGTCAGCTTAGCATGGGGCTTCACCAGCTGGAGTGATTTCTCTATTATAACCATATGTCTGTTAATAAATTTGATTCAAATGTATAACAATTACAAATATTTTAGAGACTGGGCAGAGCAATTAAAATCAGGTAAGGTTGTTCTTGTGACTTGGTCTTAAAATAAATGAAGAGACTACAATGATGAAGCTAAATGCTACTTGGTTAGAGACTGCAAGATGCGATAAAGCAGTTAGCATGTCTAAAATCGAATTGTTTCAGATGTAGTATGTTGACCCATCACACAGGATGGCTTAATAGAGTGTCACTTAAAACACTGAAAGCACCGTGCAGGCTTCAGAGGAATTCCCCTGTTATCTTCCTGAGTTTACCTCATGAATGTTTCAATAAAAGTGGAGAAGAATGATCATTAGCAAAGTGGAATTACAGAGTAGGTCATTTGGGGGCACAATACTGTACCTGACTTTTAAAAAAGTAATGATCTTGGTAAAGGTACAAGTGAAAAAGAGACTTTTTGGGGAGTATTTTTTCTTACGTCTTTGAAGGAGTAGAAGCTTCATCTTCCAGGAATTTTTAATCTTCCTTTCTCCCTAAATCTGCTCTTTGAGCTCCTTAAGATACATTAATCTGCAATGTCCCACTGTCTCCTATCGCATTTCCCAGTTTAAATTATCTGGAAAAGGCAACTGTACTTCTGTACCATCTTTACAAATTCATGATCTTACTAAAAAGTGTGTTACTGAAACTGCTGACCTCTCTCATCCTCACATCTTACAAAAACACAGTCCTGACAGCTGTATTAGCAAAATTGTAAATCCAGTAAAGAAGTTATTAATATGGAAAGGTCAGTACATGTCAGAAATGGTAAAGTGTGGATAACTGATAGAAAATTACAAATTGGGAACTGCTTTGAAGAAGGCAAAAGAGCCTTTAACTGGTTCAAAATATTTGAAATTTTGATAATTTGTTTAATGACTTGAATCATCATAATCTTTTGGAAATTGATTGGATCATGTATATTTTTCTTTGAGGGCAAATTTCTTCTACATCTTTATTTCTTTTTTCTCACACACTGAATTGTTCCTTTTTTAGCTATATATTTTATGGTATAACTTTTAATTCTTCCTTGTAGAAAAACAACATGGTTTCTGGAAGACTCAGTTATTCTTCCCAGAAATTTTAGATTTTTTGAGACACAAACAAACATATGAAGAAACAGTTTCTGAATCTTAAAAACCACATTGAGTTCCAGTTCTAAAATCAGCGGTAAATATAGGCATATAAAACAATGTAAACTCTACTTGTCATCAGAACAGTAGCCTATGGACATAGTAAGTGTTTAATATTATTTTTGAATCAATTATTTTTATTTTTAGAAACAAAAAGGCAAAGATGAGACTGTATTTCCTGAGTGATATAAACTAACAATTGTCTATTCAAAGAATATAGCTGTTTGTCTGCTCTTATGTAATATTCTTAATTATCTGAAAGAGGAATGGCCTAGTGAGAACTCCACCTTTTAGATGTCCATGACCTCTTCCAAGTAGTCAGTAACTTGCTATGGGAGATGAGCCTGGGAATTCTGTAAGGTAATTAGAATGTTACTTTTAAATCTGGATCATTGCATTTTATGTTAATTTTCTCACTTGTTCTTTACAATAACTTTTTGAAATTTGATTATGTAGGCAGGACAGTTACGGTTGCTTTTTACAGATAAACAAACTGAGGCTGTGAGAAGTAAAAGGATTTCCCCAAGTTCATTCAACCAGCAGTGAAACAGTTTGTATTGAAACAAAGGATGTTTGACTCCTACTCCTAGGCTGCCTGATGCAGTAAAGGCATCAGAAGCCAAATGAATGTATAAGTTCACAAAGGATTAGATACATTTTGATGTCAGATTCATAACAGATTGTTAAAGGTCATCAGGTGTTCTTAATATACACTTCCTGCTTCTTCAGGGTAATGTCATGGTGGGTAACCATGCAATCCCCTAAAAAACCCTTTGCTGTCACTGTCAGAGACAGATTTCTGGACTCTAGGCCCATTGGCCTGTCCCAGTGAGTCATTTCTCAAGTTCTTATCTTTTGGATACAGAAGCATATTACTTGAGAGTGTGAAGGGGAAGTTGGCTTTAATCTTAATTGCCTGCATAACAGTATTTTTAAAATGATCTCACTCTGTAAAATATAAAACGCTACCACTACCATAGAAGTCAGGAATGTTAGAGCAGAGCAAAGATTATTAGAAAAGTCAAGCTTGCAATATACATTCCATCCCTCTGAATTTGCCATTAAAACACGGTTGCAGTTCCAAGCAGACCATAGCCAGACTGCAGAATGCACAGTCTGTGTAACTACTCTATCCCTACTCAATTTGCATGCCAGGACAGAACAGGTATTTATCTAAATGTTATGTAATTTTTTTTGTTTCCTTGATGTTACTGTGCTCCTCTAACGTCTTTGTTTAAATCGCTTGTTTATGAAAATAGCGCAATATAGGTTATGGGTATGATGCATGTGGCTTCTCATATGATAGATATTTTGTTAATCAACATTTTAATTTTACTATGTTCATTCCATGATTAAGCCAGTTATTTGATCTTATTAGGGATTTACCTGATTTGACTAAAAGAGCTACGGAGCCAAAACCATGGGTTCAAGTACTGAAGCAGCTGTTTTTGTTGGCCAATATAAGATAAATACAACCTGGCTTAGATAGCACTTATACTCTGATGCGTCCTAAATCTAAACAGATAATATATTATGCTTTCAGTTGCCTGTTTTCGCAGTAACTCATGATTTCACATAATAAAAGAAACTATGTACAAAAAAACATTTAATTCCCAGACTTTTACAGAAGTGGCCTAGGAGAGGGGGTGAGGATACCCGATTCTGTGTTGGTTTCACATGTAGACAGTTAATCTGACTCAGAATGCTACTGCTTTCCACGGTAAAGGGAAAGCTCATGACTAAAGTGTGCAGCAGAAATGGAAACTTCTAAGATCCATGCTGTTGTTGAGTTTTAAACATTTTATACAACATTTTAGTGGGTACAAGCTATTTTCCAGGCTTATAGTAATTTCTGATACATCTCTTGCTGGCTGAGAAAGGTGATCAAGTGTATAAATTCCATAACATATCAAATCTCTATTCACTCATATATTCCCATGCACACATGCCTCGAAGCCGGAAGATTTGGATTAGAGCCTGTGCTGGTGCTGCTGCTTATTTGCCCTGTCATCTTGGGCAGGTTATTTTAGGTCGTAGGTTCTTAGTTACTTCCTTTGTGAAATGTGAAGATCAAATCTGCTTTGATTAATTTAGCATGCTCTAGCCTAGCAAAATTCTTAATGATAAAAAGTAATTATTATTAGTAGTAAGTTTTTGGCATGGAATATGACAGTACATGTAAAAATACTCTGAAGACTTTAAAACACTATGTTTAGTTAGCTACTACTGAATAATTATTTCAAATAATGTTAACATAAACATATGCTAAGCATGTACTCAAATAGAATGTTTGCCTATATAACATTTTAAAGGTAAGTTTTAAAGTATCAAGTGAAAATATTTTTGATTTGTATGTATATATAAATGTATGTGTATATATACATTCTTAATATGGTATAGCATGTGACTATCACAATTCCTAATCTAGATATTTTACTCTGTGATCTTGGGCAAGGTATTTTCCTTTGCTCACCTAAATAGGTTTTTTAAAACTTTTTACTTTATCTATTAAATGTAAAGTAAAACAATCTGTATCAGAGATTTGTGGGCAGAATTAAAGGAAGCCAGAGTACTTGGATCTTCAGGCCGGGCGCTGTGGTTCACGCCTGTAATCCCAGCACTTTGGGAGGCTGAGGTGGGCAGATCACGAGGTCAGGAGATCGAGACCATCCTGGCTAACACGGTGAAGCCCTGTCTCTACTAAAAACACAAAAAATTAGCCGGGTGTGTTGGCGGGTGCCTGTAGTCCCAGCTACTAGGGAGGCTGAGGCAGGAGAATGGCATGAACCTGGGAGGTGGAGCTTGCAGTGAGCCGAGATCGCACCACTGCACTCCAGCCTGGCCGACAGAGCGAGACTCCATCACAAAAAAAAAAAAAAAAAAAAAGAAATAGATCTTCAATAGACCCTCACTAATTATTATTAGAATATGGATCATGCAAAATTGTATGACAGCCAAGTTAGGTTTCAAAACATATCTTCCCACTCTAATATATAATGCTTCACAAATTTTTCTACATGTAAACAATAATGTACATATCAGAAAGAATAAATTGATGTGGCTTAGAGGTAGAGCTTTTACATATGGAAGACCCTGAAATCTTTAATTTTCTACTAAGCTAGGGGCATAAACTGCACTTTTAAAATTTTATAACCCTATACCTTTCCAGGAGCTAGTACATATTGTTTGATGAATTCTTACAAAACTTAAAAGATGAGAGAGGAATTATTATAAAAAGGAACAGATGATAGAATCACCTGGGGGCATCCATAGCTCTCAGGCATGTATTTTCCTACATAGTTGCTGGGTCCATGCTGCTATTGTGCCTCCCTCTGGGGACAGCACACATGTGCAGCCACATGCAGTGTAGCAGGACATCCTTCTCCCATATCCTCCTCCCTGTCATACTCTTAATTGGTCTAATGAGCTATGTTGACATGGAGCTCTCTCTACTACTATGTTCTCAGGACATGGGAAACAGCACATTTTCCTGTGTGACCCAAATGGGGCATCTCTAAAAAACGTAGTAGTAGCTGCACATCCGGTGTGTCTATCCATGGGAGGGTTAAGGAAACCTACCATAAGTCTGCTCTTGGGTGGACTTTTTCAAATTGAGTTCTCTCATTGCTTCAAAGATACCAAGTCAGGACACAGAGATATACTTGGATCTTCAAATGTTTATTTTATTTTTCTTTAAATCTGAGCAGGATTTACAGGTCTTTTCTCTCCCCCTTCCACCCCTCAACAAATGTGTTGAACATAGGTCTATTTCATTTAGGTCCTAAGCAATGTGCTCTACCAATGATCTATGCTGCCTCAGGGCTTGGCTGAATTTAATGATTTATTTGGATCCACAGATAGCTGCCTAGTCAATAATCTTTGATGTGGGAATGTAAATGATTACATTTGAAGATTGCATATGAAGAGCAATAATTATGCCTACATTTTCATATATCTGTGAATACTTTAAAATATATGTGAGAATAGATTAATTTTAAAAACTTGCGACTTTACTCTTCTAATTAGCTTTTCATTGGAAAAGCATGAGTTCAGAATTACTTGAAACAAATTTTTCTTCTTCTCTAGAAGGGGATTCATTTAAGACTAGGAATGGTAGGACATGCTGTAGATGGAACTAAAGCTGAAGAAACATACACAATGGACAATTTATGACCTAAGAGCTAAAAATAATTGACAACAAAACTGCTGCCTATTATGTTAAGGTTCTCTTCTGGGGATTAATGGAATAAGATCATTATAACTAGAGGCCTCTTGTGGACATGGTACAGGTATATGAAAACATTCATATCAATAATGAAGGGAATCTATATAAGGCATTTTCATGAAATTTGTGAATCATCATAATTAGGACTACCAGTGTAACTGTCACAGTACATTGGACAGTTCTATTCTAGGCTCTTTTATTTTATATTTACAGCCAAAGGATGAGCTAATCATTATATCCTCATCTGGTAGATGCATTATTTGAGAGGTTAATTATTATGCCTGTGGTCACCCATCTTAAAAGTCAGTAGAGGGAGTAGTTAAACTCATGTCTGTCTGATTTAGAGCCGGTGTCTTAGCCACTACTTTACAGTATCTCTAAAATGACTTACTCAAGATTTTAAAAAGTAATAATAATAACTTGAAGTAATTGGTAAACAATAACTAAAATAGAATTTAAAATACAAACCTGCAACTGGAATCAAAAGTTCAATTGCCAAATTGGTAAGATAGAGATTTCGCTTAGTGAAATTTCACATAAAAAAGAGTTGAGGAGGCTACAGCAAGGGAATTTTGTATTAACATTGTGATTTAGCTCCAAAACCCTTGACTATATTAACAACATTTCTTCATGGGTCAGCTACTGGGTTTTGGGTAGGATAATTTTTCACCGTGCAGAGCAGTCTCTGTTTGACAAGAGACTTAGGATCCATAGGCCTTACCCAATACTGCCGGTAGTACATCCAGGCAATGAGATAATAATTCACATATAAAACACTCTTTACTCCTGCAATGGCTTGGTTGAGAACTACTGCAGTAGTAGACATATACTAGTCAATAAAATAGGAAATAATAGGTAAATATTTCTTTGAACTAGTCAGAAATTACTGAGCCCATTTTCATCATATTTAAAAAGAAACCTTTATTACTAAAAGAAATTTCAGAGAATAATTGATTCAAAATTGTTGAATTTTTGCGAAACATCCTAGTACATGTGTAATACATTTTTCTCATTGCCTAACTAGTTTTCATTGGATTTCAGTCACATGCAACCAAACTGTCCTAACTAATATGTTAGCACAAGGTTCCTAAGACTTAGAAGAGTATATTACAAGAAATGCCACAAGAATCGGGATTCTTTAATCTGAAATAATGTTGACAGAGGACATGATGTTTTCCAAAATTTGACGGAAAAAAATGGCTTAGGAATTAGATTTGTATCATGGACCCCAAATAGCAAATCTGAGGCCGGTGCTTTGATAAGAGAATAATTAGAAATGGCTTTAAAATAAAAGAACTATCTTGAGAGATGGGGACTTTTTTTTTATCATTGTATGTGTTCAAGGGGATGCAGCCTTCTCAGATGTTGTCTGTGAATGAGATGGGCGGTTGGCCTCTTGAGGTCTCATTCAGTGATGTTAGACCCTATGAGTCTATCTCTTTTGGGTGTAAGGTCATTGCAGATTCACTTACTTCTAACATTTTTTTTCATAAAATGCGCTTATTTTACTTCTACATTCTCTGAATACACATCAAGTAATACATTCTCCTGAAGACCTAATTTTAGATGCACAAAAACTGCATAGATTTAGACTGAGATCAAAATATCAAGCAGCACATCAGGGTCCCCAGAGCTTTCTGCACCTGAAAAGAAGAAAAGAAAAATCCAAACACTTTATTAGCAACTGTACACTTTCCTTAGAACACGTAGGCTTAGCCTGCTGTGTTCCCATCAGTTAGTCTTCCCTCCTCTGGGGAGGCACTCAAAGCCAAGCTCATCAGGGCTGCAAAACATTCTGTGAAGAAACAAAGCATTCATGGTTAATGAACTGGTCCTGCAGGACTAGCCTGTTAATGGGAAACTGGCCCTCAGTAACACTAAGGTGAAAGATTTTTCCTGCCCTCACATCCTTCCCTCCCAACTTACTCTTATTTCTACAGGAGAAGAAAAACCTCTTTGATTACTATAAGTTCTTATGAGGCTACGAAAATCTCCTATTGGAATCACCATAATTCTGTGAAACACAGAATTGGCCCAAAAGTTCTGCAATCAGCAAGGATTACACAATGTACAGATGCTTTGTTCCTCATTTCCCTTGATTCAGGGTGTATTTATTCACTTAAAATTGTGTTACACCCTAAAGAGGAAATAGAAGAAGACATCATGAGATATTTGACTTAGTAAAATTTTTAGTATTTCACTCATTTCCAGGATAAGTGCCTGAATGGAAGAACTTGGATCTTAGACCTCACTAGGATTAATTATCTAAAATGCAGATCAGCCCTGCTTGCTGTTCCTATGAGAGGATGATCCTTTTATTCTGCTATGTAATTAATTTCACCCTGCCCTCCTATTGCCACCTCTCTTTTTGGCTTTCCTCTGACCAACTTTTCTAATGGAAGGCCCATGAGATGTACTATGGATCACCTGCTCGTCCGTGTGTTACACAGTTTTTTAAAAATGCTTTGTTTTTCAATAGTATTTCTATTATAAATTTACTCTTGTGCCGAATGTCTCAATTCTGTATCCCATTGTTGATTTCTATAGAGCTCTGTATTTCTTACTTTCTTATTGACTCTTTCCCTGGGACACCCTTTACTACCTAATAAAATGTAATCTGCCAATAGCAAGCTCACTTCACTTTTGCAATACTCACAACTGCATCCTCGCAGTATTGGGACCTCAGATTCTGCTGTTTCTAGACTTGGACACATTGGCGTGTTGTGTCCCACTGCTCTATATACCACAAATACTTTTCCATACGAATTTTAGACTTTGGAATTCACTTTATTATTCCTGGACTAATTTCTCACTGCTTTAGACATGGACTTCTCTCATTGCCACAAAAACTTTAATATATATCTTAAACACTGAAAATAAGAGTACTAAAAACTTTATAGGAAATAGTCACCTGTCCTAGGAGGCTTTTTATTATGAGACCCAAGTATTTCTATATTAAATATCCATCCTCAGGTAGATACAAACGATCAAATGTGCCTTCCAAGTTTACTTGCCCTAACTTGTCAATACTAACATTATTCCTTGTGTTAAATGCTTCTTAGTCCCAGTAACAACCTCACACCCAGATAAAGATGCATTCCTCAACCCACACCTCTTTTTTGGTGAAGATATTGAGACAATAAATAGATAAATATCTTGTTTAACCTTTAGGACCTAAGTAGAGTAATAGCTGAATCCAGATCTCAGGTGCATGTATTCTCAGCCAAGTCCTTTCTTTTCTTTAAATTTTTTTTATTATTATACTTTAAGTTCTAGGGTACATGTGCACAACACACAGGTTTGTTACATATGTATACATGTGCCATGTCTACAACCATCTGGTCCTTTCTTATGTAAGGGGTATAACAGTGGTGTTTGAAATCAGCATTACATTTCACTTTTAATATCTTCCTTCCTTAGCCTGATTTCTTTTGAATCTTAAATATTTTTTAATCAGAAATTTCCTCCATCACTGACTTGCATTTTGGCCCAAGTGGAAAATTGAGGTCCTCCCATAGAGAAGTTTCCCTTGACTTTAAATACTTAAAGGTTAACAATTGATTATAATCCTCCATTTCTATTACATAACCAAAAGAGTAAGTAAAATTTGAATTAGTTAGCAGATGTGGCAAATATGTATAAAAATGTAAAAGTCCAAGTGAGGTACTTTGATATAATTTAAAAATTATAAATAAAACACAGCAAAATGAGGAAGACCAGTAAAGAGAGCTGTGGTGGAAATGCAAATTAATATAACCTCTATGGAAAACAGTATGGATATTTCTCCAAGAACTAATGATAGAACTGCCATTTGGTCCAGCAATCCCACTATTGGGTATCTACCCAAAAGAAAAGAAGTCATTATATCAAATAGATACCTGCACTTGTACATCACAGCACTATTCACAATAGCAAAGATATAGAATCAACCTAAATGCCCATCAGTGGCTGATTAGATAAATAAAATGTTCATATATATATATATATATATATATATATATATATATAAAATACTATTCAGCCATAAAAAAGAATAAAATAATATATGTTGCAGCAACATGGATGCAACTGGAGGCCATTATCTTAAGTGAAACAACTCAGAATGTCAAAACGCATATGTTCTCACTTCTAAGTGGGAACTAAATAATATGTACACATGGACATAGAATGTGGAATAATAGACATTGGAGACTCAGATGGGTGGAAGGGTGGGAGGGGGTGAGGGATGATAAATGACTTAATAGGTACAATGTACATTATTTGGGTGATAGTTACACTAATTTTATACATACATTCCTAAATATATAAAAGTGCTGCAGAGCCCATCATGAGAGTTTTACCTATCCTCTAAATTTAGTGGCAGCTGGGTCAGTCAGACTGGTTGCTCCAATTTTGTCTTCTAGGAAAAATAAAATAAAATAAAAATTCCATTGTTTTTGAAGGTTGGTACTAAGAAGGTTTTCAGTTAGAATTTATCGTGCTGTCCTTATGATTCATTTACTGTTAGTAGAAACACTAGTGCCTGAACGTTGCTTGAATTTTTAATCACTCACCACTCTTTATTTAGTGAGTATGAGATTTACATCCAAGCTATAATTGGGTGCCCACCAGTTTCTTTTTTTGAGATCTTCATTAGCAAGTGGAATCATTGTTCTCAAGCCCACAGTCAAGACTGGACATCTGAATGACTTCTAATTCTTAGAAACAGGACAATGAATTCTGTGTAACAACAAATCTGTTCTTTGATTAATGGTTTGTCCTTCAGAACACAGGAAACCACAGGCTTGTGTAGTCATAGTGGGAGACATTTTTCCTAATCTAAGGGTGACATCTCTTATTTGTGTAGCTTTGTCGTTTTAGGCAATTTGAAGTTTTCTTGGTATTTTGGTTTTCCTAGGCATTTTCATTTCCATTCCTAAGCCTATAAAGTCTCCAGTTTGTTCACTGGCTTTAGAGTGCTATAGAGTTTGAGATTGCTCGGTTTCAGTGAGACTTTTTATCATGTAAATGTCATCAGTGCTTAGATCTCTGACTATGGCAGAAGAGCTTAGGAAACATAGATAATTCCTTTGTTATTACATTTTAGTTATTTTGAGGGCTGGCTTTGATTACAGTTTATATAGAAAATATAAATATACTCTACCTTTCTGACCTTTTTTTCACTAAGTCTTGTAGAGCATATAGTTTAATTGTTAAGGAACTGAAGAAGATATTTTAAATAAATTATCTCTCATGAGAAGGATTAGAATCAGTCCTGTATGTTTTGACTTCAGCCAGTTTTATATTTTAAGGTCTGTCAATTGCAGTTTCCACTCCTGGAAGTAATTTCTATATCAATTAGTTTCAAGTAGCAGGAATACGATTCAAAATACATACAGTATTTCGTAAGCAAAGAGGAATATTTATTTTAAGGGTAGTGTTGTTTCATAGAATCCAGGGACATATATACATATATGATTGCAGTTGGTTTTCAGGAAGAAATAGAAAAATTATCTAAAAAATCTTTCTTTTTTCCTCTTTCTCTCTCTCTTCTCTGGAAGTCATAGTAAAGGTAGTCCTCAAAGAAGAGGTAAATGTTTGTGTTCTCCTAATAATCTTCCCTCTAAGTAGACACTTCTCTTAGTCATAACAAGACTTTTTGTGGTGAAAAAAATCAAATAATGGGAGGAGATGTAAAAAGTTACAATAATTTTGAAGGTTATACAAGTTTGGAGAAAGTAAAATGTTTGAGTTAGGTTGAGATGAGGCATTACTTGATTCCCGGGCATTAAAAGTATGCTATGAGGTAAGCAAAATTTTCAAAGATTCCTTCAGCCAAATATGCCTATCTTAATTTATATTTTCCAAGGGACTTATAGATTATATAATTACTGATGCTGGAGAATGAACCCCAATTAGCCTCATGTGTTTGTTTGTAAATGTGTCTATAACCCAATCCTTTGTTTTGTATTCAAATGGAGATTATAGTCAAACTATCTTTGTTCCTTGTATTTAGGTCTATTCATAGAGGTCTTAGCATCTAAAAAATGCCATAATTTTCATTATTAAAATAACAGGCTATCCTTATATTATTGTATTATTAAATTGGCTATTGTTTCTGAGAAGCATTTATTTTTCTTTGTTTCTTTTCTCTCTTATTGTGGACAAAATATCTGTATAGTCAGCTATTGCTGCACCAATGCTGTATAACAACTGAAATAAACCAGTGATTTATAATAATAGGCATTCTTTTTTCTTAGCCTTTGGCCTGAAGGTCAACAGCTACAGCCCTGCTTTAGGACACTGCTCAACTTATGTCCATGCTGAAGTTGGCTCAGTATGCTCCATGTACTTTTTTATTCTTCATGGACCAGCAGCTACCTGAGACTTGTTCTCAACACAGTGAATCACTGGAGTGAATAAAGATAAGTAGAAATATTTGATATCTTCTGTGGCTTTTGCCTGGAACTAGCACCTTCTCACTTCTCCCACATTCCATTGACCAAGTATGTCACAATCCCAACATTAGTGAAACAGAGAAATATACCATGCCTTTAGTGGGAGAACTATAAAGTCATATGGCTAAAGGTATGAATGTATAAATATATTTATGGAAAGTCATGAAGAATTGACAGCCATGATCCAATATCACACCAAAGAAAAAAGAATTCTGCGGTGATATTTGAAATATCTGATATTCTTCTTTTCCACTACTTTTGTAGCAATGGAATAACTATGACTTTGTTGCGCATACAATACTTGTTGAGATTTGGTAACACAATGAAGTCTTCACAGGACATTGTCTTGGGACTTTCCCATATCTAGGGTAATGAAAGAGACATTGGCTCATATCTGTAATCCCAGCACTTTGGAGACTGAGGCAGTTGAATTGCTTGGGCCCAAGAGTTCTAGAGCAGCCTGGGCAAATGATGAAACCCCGTTTCTACAAAAAAATACAAAAATTAGCCGAGTTTGGTGGCACGTGCCTGTAGTTCCAACTACTGGGGAGGCTGAGGTGGGAGTATCACTTGAGCCCTGGAGACAGAGGTTGCGGTGAGCCAAGATCACACCATTGCATTCCAGCCTGAGTGACAGAGTAAGGCCTTGTTTCAAAAGAGGGAAGGAAGCAAGGAAGGAAAGAAGGAAGGAAGGAAGGAAGGAAGGAAGGGAGGGAGGGAGGGAGGGAGGGAGGGAGGGAGGGAGGGAGGGAAGGAGAAAGAAAGAGATGTTGAAACCTCACATAAACAACAGTGTGTGTATATAGGTAGAAAATTAAATTATAAGTCTGATTTTAAAAGTTCAGCTTAGCAAATGATTGTAAGAATGCCTAATTATTGAATTGTTATTCTGTCTCTACCCATTCAGTGTTTCAAAAGCCATTTTCCCATTTTCAAGAAAAAATATGGCTATGATCCAACTTTCCCTTTAAATTGAGGAGTAAAAATTAAAAAAAATAAAAAAAAGGACAGCTGTAGCCTAAATATAGCCTAAATGTGTATCCTAACTTGTTTCACATTCCAATCAATGACTTATACTGATCAGAGCAGAGCAAGTTCAAATATCTCATTTTCTACTACAATAAAGATTTTGCATTAAAAATAATATTGGTCACTGCTAAATAATACTATACAATTGGGAAAATATCATCAAATAAACAAATTAAAATTTCTTTTTAAACCTCCAAAGAAGAGCTATTTATTTCCACTTCAAAGCTGCATAAATAAATCTTTTTTACAGTGTACCTGCAGCGTGCATAACATCATCTTGCATATTACAAAAGTGGAAGAGAATAATGCATGGCTGCTATATTTTAAAAACATGTATACAACAGCAAACAGGAACACTGAAATTTAGTTCTGGTTAAAACCCCTTTTTGTTTTTGAATTTGGCAATAAGTTAGTATCAGGAATTATTATCCTGGAGAATCACTCAAATGTAATTTAAATTATTTTATTTTGTTATAAACAAAATGTAATCAAGAAGGCATAGTGGAAAGCATGTGTAGATTATAGACAGTTATGTATTTCATTTATTGCGATATTAAGAAAAAGAGAAGACAGTTTTTGCAGCGATAGTTAAGACATATTTACCTTTAGGACATGTTTTACCACTTTCATTAGATTTATTCTATTGAGATTAAAAAGTGAATACTAGGATATATAAAATAAGACAAATGTTATTTAATGAAGTTTGGCAAAAATCATGTCAGGTGCAAGCAATGGGGATTGAAGGGGTAAAGATAGTATGGGCTTCCAGGTAATTTAGTGCAGTTCATTTGAATTCAATTTTTGGAGTACCTATAGCAAACCACACACTCTTTTAATAGTATGGGGGATCCAGTAAAGAGCAATGCTTTCTTCTCAGACCAAGGACATACAGCAATAGCAGTAAGCTGACAAGGCAAGTGGTTTTTATTTGACTGGAATAAATTTGGTTTCTCACTATTTTAGTTAGGAACAAACAAACAAAGCTACCAAATAGATGTTACAGAGATGCTTTGCTAGATAAAATGTCACAGCAATGGGAAGGAAGAATCTCCTGGGGAAGCAAGTTTCACAGATGATAGGTCTTGACTGAGAGAGTTTTAACTTTGACTGTTATACTTATCCATGAGATAGAGATACAGTATGTGTTTTCAAGAGCTGTGACAATAAAGTGGAAAATAGAATATGTGTAAAATACTGAGCCACCCCAATTTTTTCTCTATTTGAAGCCAAATTGTGTTGGTTTGATTCCTTTTATAATTGCTAAAGTTTTCAGAAATGGAAGTTATAATTAATTGTTGTATAATAAAATTGACTAATTAGAATCTAAGTAATCATAGATCCTAATAATAAAATTCAGCAAACTTAGAGAAATTGATTTTAGGAAAAAACAGCTTTATTTTAGAGCTTTAGCCCCAAACATATTTCCAGCTAATATCTTGCTTTTGGTATAAATTCAGTGTTATTCTCTACCCTTTTATTTCTTCAAATACTGCGAGCAGAGTGAGAATGAATGTTCAGAGGGAGGACTGGAAGGCCGTGTAAGCTTTTCAATCATCAAAGAAGTTTCTATCTCGTTTGATGTTTCCTCCTTACAAAGACAGAAAATTGGACTCTTGCATTTTAGAAAGAATATATACTGTAGGTTCTAGTTTACTTTAAGTTAAACAGAAGATAGCATTAATCCTGTATATCAGTTACTGGAGGCTAGCCTTGATTTAAACTTTATGTATAAACAATTGTACTTTGAATTTCATTGGTGTATGTGTGTAAACACTTATTTCTAATTTGATATTGCATGAGGGTTTAGGATTTGGAGACCTTTCTAGAATGTCTTTGATCTTCAAAACTTACTGAATGTTCAGGTTTAACATTTTCCTTTGGGACAGTTTGCAAGCAATGCTGAAAGTTTATGGTAAAATATATGAGACTGCTGTGTAGTAGAAGTCACTTATTTACTGTCTTAGTTCATTTTCTGCTACTATAAAAGAATATTACAGACTGGGTAGATTATAAAGAACAGAATTGTATTTGGTTTGCGATTCTAGAGACTTGGAAGTTTAAGAATACTGTCCCAGCATCTGGCCAAAGTCATCTCATAGCGGAAGGGTGGGATGCAGAAGGGCAAGAGTGGGATGCAGAAGGGGCTGGACTCCCTTCATTACAAGCTGCTCTTGAGATAACTAACCTGTTCCCATTATAATGACATTAATCGATTCTTGAGGCTCCGCCCTCATGACCTGATCACCTCTCTTATTAGGCCCTACTTCCCAACATTGTTGGATTGGGGATAAAGTTTCCAACACAGGAAGTTTTGGGGGACACATTCGAACTATGGCAGCTATCTTCAGCTCTGAGGATTAGTGACTCTTCTTCCAGGTCAGAAAGACTTTCTTCCTCATTTCATTATACCCAAATACCACCTTCCTAGAAAGACCTTCCCTTGTCAGTCTAAATAAAATGTTGTTTTTTTCCCTGTCAATCTCTATCCTCCTTATTCTGTTTTATTTTTCTTTATATCTCGTTATCAAATGGCACATTATGTGTGTGTTTGTCCTCCTGCTGCCTTAAAATGAAACTCCATAAGAGTAAGGACATTTTGTGTTTGATTCATTTCTATTTCCTGAGTACCTAGAGCAGTTCCCAGCACAACTAAATGCTCAATAAATATTTTTCTTCAATGAATGAAGAAAATTGGAGAGTAAATGAAGCTAGTCAACTACTCAGACACTGTATCAACTCATCTTTTATTATGAGTATGGTAGTTCTTATTAGGGATTGTAAGAGGTAATTTATGTTTTTATTTTTACCTGACTGCATTTTATGAGGGAAAACATACGCTATGGTGGTGCCTGGGAATTCTGGGAAGTCATGATTATCTAGATATTTCCAGAATAAGGGTCTACTTAGGTAATAATGTCTAAAATCTTTACATGCATCAGCACAGTGATACACATACACATGTGCATACATTCACAAATATACATGCATATGTCGCATAAATATTACCTTATAATTTTAAATGTTGAATATTTTATTAACTAAATTCACAGTCATTTCTTTTTTAACCTATCCAATATTTATTCCTGTTACCCTTTCATTCTTGCACAAACTGAACTTTTTATACTGTGTGTTAAATTGATCTAATATGAAATCCAGTTTAATTATTAAATTTAGTTCAATATTTAATTTGGTTTAGTAAAAGTGATCTTGCATATAATGTATGCATTTAATTGATATATTTAGGACAGGATAATTTTGAATAGGTTAAATATTTAATGTAGAGTAATTTTTTAAATTATTCAGGATTAAAAATAGAATAGATCTATGTTATCAAAGTACTGAGCAGATAAATGTCATGATTTAATAAATTTCTGTTCACATATGTGAAATACTGCCATTGCTTAACTTCTTATCACCAATCTGTCTTTGTCTATGGTCTGGCTATGAACTCTGTTTTATTAATAAGGAAAGAAACTAAAGGTCTTCAATATCACAAAATCTTTCTTCTTTCTCTTTGAAGTATCTAATGTCAACATCCTTTTACCTATCCTTTTCCTACTTTTCTTACTCAAATTCTTGTTAGTACATTGTGACTATTAGTATGTCTTTTAAAATATGAGATTTAAAATGAGTTAGCACTTTCTCTCTCTTTTTTATTCCTAAATTATACTTTCCCCAAATCAGCCAGTGTCAGTTTCCTATCCACAGCTCGAACTTCACTCTTGTATTTAAATACATGTTCTCCTGTTCAGGTCCACGAATAATTGCTGATTGTCTATGTTATTGTCAGCTTGTTTCTCTTTCTCATCCTCCTTTTCTTCTTAAGTCCAAATTTTATCCTCTTCATTTCCACAGAATAGCTCAGGCTTTATGATCATTCCTTCCTATAATATCACAATTGTCCCTAAATGGTCTCCACATCAGCTGCTCCTCTTACTTCCATCACTTTATTGCTCTGCACCCTGCCCACCATCATTACTCAAATGATGAATTCATATGCTTGTGCACTGCAGTCAAACCCAAAACAGGGCCCTTGTCTACGTAAAGACTCTCAAGGCGTGAGCTGTATTTTAAAGTTCCAATTGTAATTATCTGATTATGATTAAAGTGAGGAAAGATAAGCAGGCTTTGGTCTGTTTTTAAGTCAACTTATTTTGCGTGTGATATTCCTCTTCCTCCTCTTCCTTTTCTTCCTCTTCCTCCTCTTTCCCTCCTCCTCCTCTTTTCCTCCTTCCATGGCTCCTCATCCTTCCTCTTCCTATTTATTTCTCTTCTTCCTTCAAAAAGAGATTCACTAATGATTTCATGTTGATGGTGCTGGAGGAAAGGTAAATGAGGAAGTATGAAGAGACTTAGCCCCAGTCACGGGATTGGGCTATCATATGCTCATAATAACAAAGTAACCAAATAGCCATGGGTACCAGCAGCAATCTGCCCAGAATCCAGGAGGAGTCTTTAGCACCATATCTATTAAAAGCTTTCTAGACCCATGAATGCTATACTTATATCCTGGTAATTTTCTACTTTGGAATTAAGTTTGGGATCAGGAGTTGGGTAATTTGTTGTTATTTTCCTTCACATTCAAATTTATAAACACAATGATTTTTAAAATTTATTCCTTTTTTAGTACTTGAAGTTAAAAGAATTTAAATGTGTGTAGTTGGAGAGAACCGCTTCAGACATCTGTGCCAGATACATGTTAGAGTGTTACCAGTGATTCTCTCCATGATCCTTGCTTCCTGGTTTTCATGTCTTGGTATAATCTCTTCTTGCTGAGTGTTGACAGGACCTGTAACTTGCCTCTAAAAAATGGAATGTATAAAAGATGATAGAATAGTAATTCCAATGGTTACATTATTATACACACACACACACACACACACACACACATACGATATTGGGTTATGTATAATATATATTACATATACAAAACTAATATATGTTATCTATAACAATGTATATCACATATATAACATCATATATACATACATATTATATATATATATAACTGCTTTGCTGGTGGGGACTTGCTCTAAGAACTGTCTTCCTTGCTGGCTTAAGTAATAGGCTATGTTGGGAAAGCCCATGTGGCAAGGAACAATGGGAGCTTCTGGGAATTAAAATGGCTTCTAGGAATGTGAGTAGCCGCTACTAGCTGAGAGAAGCTTCAACTCATGGCCAGCAAAATGCTGGTACCCTTAGCCCTTCAGCCACAAGGGAATGAATTCTGTCAACAACCTGAGTAAGCATTGAAATACATTTTTTTTTTCCAGCTTAGTTCCAGCTGAGAATGCAGTTCAGTTGATGTCTTGGTTGCAGCCTTGTAAGCCTATAAGCAGAAGATCCAGTTATGTTAAAGCCTAGACTCCTGACCTGCAGAAACTCTGAGTAACAAAATGTGTGTTGTTTTAAGCTGCGAAGCTTGTGGTGATTTGTTACATAGTAATGAAACTAATAAATTTGTCTAAACTAAATAATTCAGGCCAGGAAAAATCCCCCTATGCTCGTATGAATATAATCATTATATCTGCCACACATACCTTCAAGTTCAAGCTTTAAAAGGCTACTTGCTGCACCACTAGATCACTTGTTCTCCACCAACCATGGCATATTTGCTCACATCTCTCTACCTGTGTTTATGAGGGCGTTTTTAAAAATAGAGTTTCCAAAAGTGTAGGACACATTTCATTTATCATAAGCTGGACCTGGTAGGTAGATAATTATGTTCACACACATAGCATTAAATCAAATTGTATTACGACTTGGAAAATATTTTTTTTTCCTCAATTTTCTTGGCATCTGTCTTAGTCCTCTTGGGCTATTATAACAAAATACCATAGACTGAAAGGCTTCAACCATTTTTTTTCTCCCAGTTCTGGAGGCTAGAAGTTCCAGATCAAGGTGTCAGAATGAACGGTCTGGTGAGGGCTCTCTTCCTGGCTTGCAGGTGGCCACCCTTACACTGTGTCCTCATATGGAGTGGGGGTGGGGAGAAAGAGGACTCAAGTGTCTCTTATAAAGGGACTGATCTCAGCACGAGGGCCCCACCCTCATTATCTCATCCCAAATTAATTACTTCCTAAAGATCCCATCTTTAAATAACATCACATGGGGGGTTAGGGGTTTAACTTATGAACTGTAAGGGGACTCAGTCAGTCTGTAGCAGCATTTTTTTTTTTTTTTGTATCTCTTCTATTTTGTCCCTGTTCTTTCTGTTAAATTGTCTTTGTAACAAGGGATGCAGACCTGCAGAACAGTCTTTGGTAGCAACAGAAACTATGTAAAATATAATGTTTTCTTCTGTTTTCAACACATCTATTTTTCAACTTCACCTTTACATTGTGCCAGGTGATACTGGGTTTTCACTTGTGGAAGTCCTAACGTGCTTTCTTTTTAAGTACATTTATTTAAAATTTAATAAAACTTGAATCATATGAAGGAAAATATGAAGTAACTATAACCATAGGTATTAACATAGGTCATGCATGTGGTCCACAGTGACTGAACTTTGAAAAACTTCATTTCCATCAAACTCCTCCTTTTTGCTTGTTCCTCAAGGTTCAGCTCACATATGGCCTTCTGAGAAAGCCTTCCTGGCCTTCTTTAATTAATGATACCCTTAGTGAATCCACAGAACATAACTCAAAATGTTATTACAGCATGTATCAATTCCTTAACATTTGTTTCCCTTGATTTATTATAAACTCCTAGTATCAAAGACCACGCCTAAATTATCTATGTTTGGCCTCTAGAATGGTGCCTTGAACATGGGAGAAATGTGTAACTCATTTTAGATAATATGTTACTATATACGAGAGGTAATACTGGCCAGTGTATTGCTTGTGTAGATAAATAAGGCTCTTCTTACGCTATAGGAACATCATATACACTATAGGCACTTCCATCACTATATATGACCTTAAGATAAAAATCATATAAGTGAATCTTACTGGTAAAGACCAGTAAACAAAAAAGACATAATTAAATAGGAATGTGCAATAGATTACAAAGTAATGTTAAATATTGTGAATTAATTTCAGTTAATTTGTCTTATTCAAAATTTTCCATTAAAGAACTCGTTTTAGTTTCCAAAAACTTCGGTTACAAAGCAAAAAGAAGTAATTACTAATCATTTATTCTGAAATAAATTTTAAAACTCTAAGAGCTTTATTATCTTTTATAAACTATTTATAGCATTTCTACTAGGTGTTAAAAAAAGCATCAGGTTCTTAAAAATTATTAATATATAATGTAGTAGTAGCTGATGAAGAATAGCTGACATGGAAAACATAAAGAAGTGTGATAGTCTTTATTTATTTTCTTAAAACACTTGGTAACATGTACCTAATATATTGATTTCAATCATGTTGAATTTATTCATCCTCCTTCCCTCTTTCCTTCCCTTCCCTTCCCTCCCTCCTTCACTTTCCTCCCTTCCTTCCTTCCTTCCTTCCTTCCTCTCTCCCTCCCTTCTTCCCTCCCTCCATCCCTTCCTCCCTCCTTCCCTTCCTCCCTCCCTCTTTTCCTCCCTTACTTTGTTCTTTTAAACAATTCTTATGTGAAATAGGCTAAAAACAGAATTTTAAAAGCTAGACCATAAAATGTTTCTTCTTGAGGTAAGAAAATAACATATAATATCCAATAACAATGATAAAAACTATAACTACTTCTCTAAGGAAACAAATAGAAAATGATATTTATTGTCTATTCAAACCAAAGATGTGTGTATATGATGCTGTTTCAATGAAGAAATTATAGAAAATTATATCTATGAAAGCAAAAGTGCTTTGCACTATTAGAAAGAAGAGTGTCATATAAATAAATTCAATCTTGAAGTTGGAATGCTTTAGCTGCCATAGATGTTTATGCAGGAGGGACTATTTGTACCTGCCACATAAACAGCACTAGGAAGGAAGAAAATCTGCTTATATCCAAATGTGCTGGCTGAACAAATACCAATCTTAATTTTTAAAAATCAAGGTTTCTGCTATAGTTTTTTTTGAAGCCAAATGTTTAGATTCTGATTTTTTTCCCACTTTTTATCATCAGGGTTTGTCATCAGGAGACACAGTGAACTGATGCTACTTATGCTGAGAGAAAAGGCTATACCATTTTTGAAATTATTCTCATTGTTTAAGAATATTAATTGAAGAATTGCCATGCTATGATTGGTTTAGTCACAGTTTGCTTGCACTTGATAAC
This sequence comes from Homo sapiens, assembly GCF_000001405.40. Lineage (NCBI taxonomy): Eukaryota > Metazoa > Chordata > Mammalia > Primates > Hominidae > Homo > Homo sapiens. The sequence continues at coordinate 91,501,799 of NC_000006.12, forward strand.
GTTACGAATGCAGTTTGAATAAAAAAAACTGCAGATAGTTTCCAGTAAAATAAATGGAAGGAGGATTGCCATAGAAATAGTAATATTTAAAAGTACTTAGCTTGAGCAATGAAATTAATTTATTATAGTGTTGCTCTGTAATGAGAAAGAATTTTTTTTTCAGTATTATAGATCTATGTGGAGACAGAGGGCAAAATAAGTGAGAAATGTGGTTCAATTGACCCTGGAAGAGAGAAGTTATTTCTTATGTCGGTGGAGGTTTAAAACTCATTTGCCATGCATTTCTTGTTATTGCATTTTAATTATAGTGAGGACACATATGCTGACAGCGCATGAGATCATATTTGTTAAATGAACCTCGACTTGTGCAGCACTCATCAGAAAGCCTCCGGGATTACTCAATGTATAGGCTTTGTTGTGCTTACAAAATAAAGGAAAGCTCTGTTAGGTATTATTTCAAGGATAAGGATATGAACTAAGGAATTAAATTCTAAAATTGCAAATAATTAGAAAAAAGAAGACTTAAAGGTATTCCTCAGAAGGAAAGCAGATACATTAAATAACTTGCAAGAAATACAAATAAGAATAGTCATTTAATTACATATATATTCAATATCTACATAAACAGATATAAACATCACACAATAAAAATATCATGCAGGATGTATGTATTCACTAAAGTGAGTTCAGTTTCTGAGAGTACTAAGCTGATGAAGTTGCAGTTCAGGATTAAATTTCTGTGTAGACCACTTAGGTCTGCTGTTTTAAAGCCACATGCTGCCCTAATACCCCTAAGTAACTTCACAATTGCACATAGTTGCTCAAAAAAGAAAAATCCAAAAATGGTCCCTAGTCCCGTAACAAAGAACTCGAAGGATATTTTCTATTAATAGGGTCCGCTCAGCACAGGCAATTAAATTTGAATAAGGAGTCAAAAAAAAAAATATATATATATATAGTGTATATATCTGTAGATCTATAGATATATCTATAAGTGTGTGTATATATATATAGATATATACATGTATATATCTATATCTATATCTGTAATCTATATTTTTTTTGAGACCCAATCTCACTTTGCCACCCAGCCGGGAGTGCAGTGGCACCATCTCTGCTCACTGCAACCTCCACCTCCTGGGTTCAAGTGATTCTCCTGCCTCAGCCTCCCCCACAAAATATATATACATGTATATGTACATCTATATATATTGCAATAGATTTTTTGTTTCTAATTATAGTAATACCATATAAAATTATTATAGTAAATAGATATGAAAGTGTCAGCTAATATATTTTAGTTATATATTAGTTGACTAATATAATTAATGACTTTTATTAGATATTAATAATGATATAATGCTGAATTATGAGTGGTAGTTTGTTTCTTGTTGCTTTTTATTGTAAAATATTTTCGGTATTCATAAAGATGTAAAGAGTAATTTAATAAACGCCTATGTACCGCTTATGTATCCTAAGACAGAACACATTACAAATACAGTTAAAGTCCTTTGTAATCACATTCCACATCAACGTCCCCAGAAAATAATTACCCTAAATTTGATATTTATTATCTGTAAGCATTTGTTTATTCCCTCTACTACATAAATGCTTCCCCAAACAATAAATAATATTTTTCTATATTTTAAGAATTTATGAAAATCTATACTACACTGTATTTTGTTTTTGCAGTTCTCTTTTGTGCTCATTATTTTGTCTGTTTATTTTGCATGATTCATGAATTAGCATTCTAGCTCTAATTTGTAATGGTGTATGATATACCATTGTATACTTATTTTAGTTGTAATGTACTCATTCGTGTGGTCTTTTCTGGCCACTTCTCAGTGGCCCTGCTTAGTGCCCTGGCAGGCTGAACATTTACTGACTCCATCAATTTGGCTCCCTTCTCCCTGGTTTCCCAGTGGGTTCAGCCAATGGGAGGCACCAGCAGGAAATCAAACGATAGAAGACAAGAGATATTAAGGTAACTACAGTTAACAATAACTTCTTGTACATTTAAAAATAACTAAAAGATTACAATTGGAATGTTTATAATACAAAGAAATGATAAATTCTTGAAGTGATGAGTACTCCATTTACCTGATGTGATTATTACACATGGTATGCCTGTATCAAAATGTCTCATGCACCCCATAAATCTATATACCTACTATGTACCCATAAAATTAAAAGCTAAAGTTTCTTTAAAAACCAACCAACAAATGAAATTGTATTTTAAATATATTTTAAATGCACAAATCACAAATTTATAGCTTGATTGATTTTTACAAGTGAACTTACCTTGATAACAATTAACCAGATCAATAAATAGAGTCACATCAGCATCTTGGATGCTTCTTATCTCTTCCTAGTCATTACTCCTCCTAGTCAAGACCAAACACAATCTTTATTCCTACTTTTGTCGGTATTAATTAATTTTAATTGTTTTGAACATCATATTATTGGAGTAATACAGTATATACACTTTTATATTTTTCTTTAACTCAGTATAATGTCTATGGGATTGATTCATGTTGTTATTTTCAGTACTATGTAGTATTCATTGTATGAAAAGACCACATTTGTCAGTTCTATTGTTGATACATACTTGGGTTGTTTCTACTTTTGTGGTATTTTGAATAATGCTTCTGTGATCATATTCAGTACATGCTTTGGCGTACGTATAAATCCATTACTCTTGGGTTTCTACCTACAAATGGAGCTGCTAGGTGACAGGATATGTGTATGGTCGGTGGATACTGAGAGATTTTCTAAATGTTTGTGACAATTTACTCTCACATTAGCAGTATATGATTGTCCCTGTGACTCCACATCTTCCTAATACTTTTCAGTTTTTAAAATTTTAACCCATACTAGTAGGTGATCGATCATACATATAGTTCTGTTATTTAAATGGCCATTTCTCCAATAATTAATGATATTGAGCACTTATGGCCATTGGAAGTATGGACATTCACTGTGGTACATGCTTTCCCATCTTTTACCATTTTTAATTGGATGATATCTCTTTGTCTTCAATTTGTGGGAGAGTCTTTTCTTGGATTTATGGATTACAGAGAACTTCTAATTTGAAGCTTACTTTTTCATTCTCTTGATGACCTTACCTCATAAGCAGGTTTTTAACTGTAATATAATGCAATTTATATGTCATTTATTTTAGTGTTAGTGCTTTCTTGAGTCTTCCTTAAGAAATGTTTTTCTAACCCAAAGTCATGAGTGTGTTTTGGTATATTAAAAATCTACAATCTTTAATTTCTTTATCTGTAACAATTAGATCTATAATACTTTTAAAATTGATTTTGCATCTTGCCTATGAAAGACTGGGCTGTAATTTTTCTTGCTTGTAATAACCTTATTGGTTTATACTTTTACTTCAAACTTCACATTTTGTATTTCAAGTATGTTTCCTGTAAATAACACACAGCAGAAATTTTCCATCCTTTGCTTTAATTGGCAAGGGTAGTCTATTTACATTTCATGTCATTACTGGTATATTTGTATTTTTTTATTCATACTATTTTGTGGTATCTGTTTTGCATTTTCTATGTTAGTTTTTCAGTTCTCCTTTTGGATTCTTAATTATTACTATTATCCTATTATATCTCCTCAACTATCATACTTGCTTTCTCACCTTTTACAGAAAATCTTTAAAATTTTAACACATACACATTTAGAAATTAACATTAATATGTTTATCATCTTTCTCAAAATAATCCAAGGATATTATAATGATTTAACACTATTACCTCCTATTTTTATACTTGCTATTTTTCTAGTGTTTTGGTAACACCTATTTTTTCAGCTTCTGAAATTAGATGTTGTAATACTGATATATTTTTAGATTTGCCCACATAGTTACCAATTTTTCTATTTAACATTTCTTTTTTCATCTCAGCTCTTCCATCCTTTTTTTCCTCAAATACATTTTTCAGAAGTCCTCTACTGACTATTCACTAGTAATAAGCTCTCTCAAGTTGTGTTGAAATTTATTTATTTTTGCTTTATTCTTTGATACTAGTTTAGCTGAGTATACAATCCTATGTTGACATTACTTTCTCTCAGCATTTTGAACACTCATTGTACATATTTTTTATTTCCACCCTTGTTCTTGCTGTTGGTCCAATTGCTTTTTTTGTAGGCCAAGGTTTCCTTCTTTCTTTTTAATCTCTGACATTTTAATATCTGCCTTTATCCGTGATATTTTGCAGTTTCTCTAGATTATGTCTGGTATGGAGATACATGTACCTATGCACAAATACATGCACATGCATACATATATACAATTCTGCTTGAGATTTATTATTCTTGAAGTAGAGTTTTATCTTCCATTAAGTTTGAAAAATCTGTTATTTCAGACATTATCTATCTCTTTGAATATTCCTGCCCCATTTTGTATATTCATTCTTTCTGGGAATCTAATTTAATATTTGTCATTGTCATCCTATGCCTAATATCTTTAACATATCTTTTATATTTTCCACCTCTTTTTGTGCTCAGATACAAATTTGTATCTTCAACTGTGTATTTAATTTGCTATTTTATTTTACGTTGTTTTTAATATCTGTTATTTTCTTTTTTGTTAGATATTATAGCGAGCTCTCCCTCTTATTTTGATAGTACTTTTTTTCTTATTTCCTACACAATTTTAATTTCCTTGAGCATTTTAAATAGAGAACATATTTATATGTTATCATTTTCCAAATACAAATAGATAGTTTATATTTTGTTTTCAACCTTTTATTTGGGAGATGTCTCTTTTTGCTGTTTGTTGCTCTTCCTGATTCACTATGTTGACTCGTTTTATTGTATAGTTTACAACTTTGGTATGTACTTTCTGTGGCAACACTGAAAGCCTTGAGATGAAAGTATATTCAGAGAGAATACATATTTGCTTTTGGCTGGTGTCTATGGTAAACAGTCCAGGCCAACTCTAATAAAATGTGTTGACCTCGAGTTTCTTTGATATTATCTATGGTTTATAGTTAAACCCGAAACCACAGGTTGGTAAAATGGTGATTACGAAGAATTCTTTATCCCAACCCACACTCTGACCCCCAACACGGGTAAATTTTCTTAATTCCCTGGGCTTGTAATTAGACTATTTTTCAAGACTCACTCTTTCACGCATAGCATAGGCTTTTGAAAGTCTTAGTTTCATATGAAGTGTTTCTCAATTCCAACTCCCAACTTTCTTCTTGGCCTCATGACTCCATCAATCCTAAACATCAACATAATGCTGCTACTTTGGTTCCATCTTTCTTCATTTTTGGATTCTAGGGATTTTTCTTATTGTGTTTAATCTCAGATATATACCTACAAGAATTATGAGTTTTTTGGTCTCCTTTATTTTAAAGTGTTTTTTTTTTTTTATATAGGAGATTTTCTAAGACATCTAATCCACCACATTGGTAGAAACAAAAAAAGGATATATATTTTTAAATCTACTAAATATTTCACAGTCTCCCATTTACATTTTCAGTTTTGCCTTAATGACATATGACTCTACATAATCATTAAAAAAATCCCAACTGACCTCATGGTTTGAATTGTTGTGTTTTGCATGTGATAACTTTTATGTCTCAAATTAGAAACCTGATTCTTTCTGCCTGCATTTTTTTAGGTTGGTATCTATAGGGCAGTTTCTCAAAGGTAGTGTCATGACTCTTAAAAATTCACTTTGATTAAACAATAATGAAAAAGTGCTTTACTTTCCCTTCTTTATTTTCTTCACTTCCAACTTGTGAGTGTTCAAGTACTTAGGTTTTTAGGAACATTGATTCACCCTCACATTTACAGCTTTGTTTCTAAATTTGAACAGTTTATTTTTATCACACAGAGGACCTTTTTCTGTAAGAACTGTTCATTGTTTATGGTCTAAACTGGAGTTGAAATAATTATAGATTTTGCTTTTTTTTAAATTAAGAGAGGTAATGCAAAGCATTATGATTATGTTACTTTACTATGCCATCACTGGAAACTAAGGTTCATGAACATTAATGAGGAAAATCTTTTCCCTAGCTTCTGATGGCTGTCAAACAAACGCTTTTTTTTTTTTTTTTAAGATGGAGTCTTGCTCTGTCACCCAGGCTGGAGTGCAGTGGCGCGATCTCGGCTCACTGCAAGCTCCGCCTCCCGGGTTCACGCCATTCTCCTGCCTCAGCCTCCCGAGTAGCTGGGACTACAGGCGCCCGCCACCACGCCTGGCTAATTTTTTTGTATTTTTAGTAGAGACAGGGTTTCACCGTGTTAGCCAGGATGGTCTCGATCTCCTGACCTCGTGATCTCACCCCCCCTCGGCCTCCCAAAATGCTGGGATTATAGGCGTGAGCCACCGTGCCCGGCCAACAAACGCTTTTTACTGTATATAGTTTTCCCAAATGAAATGTTATTATCATGAATTCCTCCTAGAATTTGAATCTTCCTCATAGGTATAAAACAATGTTCATGTTTGTTTCAAATGACACCAAAGAACACAAATATTTTACTTATTATTCATAGGATTTCAAAATATTAGAAATGAGATGAATAAAGTTCTGATCACATTGAGTATCTGTTGAATTTTCTTTCAGAAACTGGAAGCACTGTACCTCTTGAGGCCCCCTCATCTCATTTTAGAATACGTTTAATTAAAGGTTTAACTTGGAAGTCAATTAAAGTACTCTGTCCTTTGACAACTATATTTTAGAACAAGAGAAGATCTTGCATACCTCCCGAACTCGCCAGGGATTTGGACAGAGTGTGTGAGATGGGGTGCAGACTGTAGTTTCCAGCTTTTCAGCTTTCTCTGTGGATAGAAACTGATATAATTTGGATGTATGTCCTCACTCAGATCTCATGTTGAAATGTAATCCCCATTGTTGGAGGTGGGGCCTGGTGGGAGGTGACTGGATCATGGGCGTGGATTTCACATAAGTGATTTAGCACCGTCCCTCTTGGTACTGTCCTTGTAATAGTGCGTTCTCATGAGATCTGGTTATTTATGTAGCACCTCCCCCACTGTCTTGTCCCTGCTTTCGCCATGTGACCTGCCTGCTACCCCTTTGCCTTCCACAGTGATTGTAAGCTTTCTGAGGCCTCCCGAGGACCTGAGCAGATGTCAGCACCAAACGTTCTAAAAAGCCTGCAGAATCATAAGCCAATTAAGCCTCTTTTCTTGTAAATTACGCAGTCTCAAGTGTTTGTTTATAGCAATGCAAGAACAGCCTAATACAGAAGCTGTCTTTGCTGAGTTACACTATTTCCAAAGCTTGTTCTTTATGGGTGGGTTGTGCGCCATGCACTGTAACTCACCCCTTTTCTTGATGTCCATAAGGAATCACCACTCACACGAGACTCTGTGTATCAGAGTATACTAAACTTTGAGGAAGTAAAAGGGATGTATTTCACAAATTACAGCACTTGTATAAGTGTCTATACACCTTTGTTATACAATCTCATGATAATTCAAAGATAATGTCAATGTGTGTTGATGATTTTACCATGGTTACAAATGTAGAATGATTTCTCTGTTTAGTCTGTTTAGAACATACTCCCTTGTGAGTTAGTACAAAGCTCCCTGTCCCTTTCTGAAGATGCACAGCTGTCCAGGCCTCAGGCAATCAATCTCAGGATCACCTGCAACTCATTGATGACTTATTGAAGTGCCACATGTAGCTTTGAGGAAGATCGAGTCAGTTAATTAGTTAATTACTTGGTTAAAGAAAATAGAGCACACTGGGAAAAAGAAGACCATATTTGAGAGTCCAACTTATATTTTGTTCAGATCCTGGCATTATCAACTGCTAGCTCTCAGAGGGAAATTATCTAATCCACCTCTATCTTTTTGTCCTCATCTCTAAAAGTGGGATAATAATAGTAAAATTTATTGAGCTTTTTGCAAGGACTAAAACATGTCAGTGGATACATATAAGACACTTAGAACATTAACTGGCACATAGTTCTAAAAAATCATAATCTATTATTATTAAAGTTAAGGCCTAGTCATTCATTGTATTGCCTGATCAGCCAAATGAGTCACAATGTTTTACAAGATGACATTTACTGTTGAAGATACACACACACACATACGCATACACACATATGTATATATTGGGCTGTAGCCAATAGTCATGAGAGCAGAATACAGTACAGAAGCCGAATTCAGGGTCATTGGCAACACCCAACCTTGTTCTCTTGCTCTGGCAAGATTCTGTGAGTTGCCAAATGTGCTTTCACAGGTTCTTTTCTGCTTAAGCTAGCCAGAGAGGATTTGTTGTTAGTAATTGAGAGCTCTGACTGATAAAATGTTGAATAAATGAATTCCATCAAGCCTGTTCTCCTGTTCCTTTCCTCGCAAAGCCCAAATTACCTCAGACATTCCTCATTTTCGAAAAGACTTTGCCCCAGAACGCCAACATTCAGAGAACCAAATTCAAAGCAACAGTTGTAAGAGCTTAGTAACTGTCTACTAAGTATAGTTAACTTATCAAACTCCCAGACTGGCATGGATTTTTCATATCCATCTTTAAGCCACATTGTCAATGGTAAATCACTTTGAGGACACAATTAGGGTTGCTTATCCCAGGACCAATATTACTAGCTATGTCTCTGCTGATGTTCCTCCAGCTTCACTGGTGCTTTCCTCTGAATGCTTGATACTTGTCCCAGTTCTTAAAGCATAGTGTTGACAACTGAAAGGAATATACAAGATGAAGCCTGATGTTTGCAGCAAGAAAGGAATTATCATCTCTCTGATACTGGATGCTACACTTTTACCAATGTAGTCCTAATTCATATTAGCTTTGTTATTAGACTTAAGTTATGAAGTATAACGATCAATGGTTAAAGATAAAATATGAAAATTACAAATAAAGCTGGGTGCAGTGACTCACGCCTGTAATCCCAAAAGCCTGTAATCTGATCACCTTGGGAGGCTGAGGCGGGCAGATCGCTTGAGCCCAGGAGATCAGGACCAGACAGGGCAACATGGAAAACCCCCACTCTACAAAAAATACAAAAATGTAGCCAGGTGTGGCAGTGCATGCCTGTAGTCCCAGCTACTCGAATGGCCAAAGTGGAAGAATCACCTGAGCCCGGGAAGTCAGGGTTGCAGTGAGCCATGATTGTGCCACTGCACTCCAGCCTGGGCTATGGGAAAGAGACCCTGTCTCAAACCAACAACAAACCAAAAAAATTACTAATATATTTTACTCTAATACATGCCTCCCCTGAAAAGAAGAAGAGTCTGTGAATAAGATACTGTTTTGTGGAACCACATCAAATTCCAGATTCTAGCTAATTATAATATTTTCTTGAGGTCCATTTTTGTTACTTCTAAATCAATGGCATAATAGAATTATTTATTCAAAGAAGGTAGAGTGCAATTTAAACATAATAAAAAATCATAGGTTTACCAAATGTTGAATTCCCAGTTGGCTAGTAAAAATGGTGATTCCCTGCCCTGTCCTTACTCCAAAAGCAAGATCTAGGTGCTTTCATGTATACTGAAGTTTCAGAGTCAACCATAGGAATTCTTTCCGTGATGGAGAATGTTGCACTTGTAATGATTCACAGCTAGATTGCAAGATGAAATGGATTTTAAGCTACAAATTTGAGCCTGAAACATTGGTTCTAGACTTTTGATTCTGTGGAAAAGTAATCTGTAGTTAGACAAAATGATAAAAGATCTTACTTTAAAATGTTCATATATTCCAATATAGTATTAGAGTAAAATATTTTCAAATGTTTTCAGATATATGGGCAATAAAATACTATTTTTAAATAGTGGACCCCAATGAAGAAACATACTAGAGAAGTTATTAAAATATTTTGAATTTTTTACTGTTTTCCCATTGCATATTGCATGCAAATATACACATGTTGGAGACATAATTTAGATTAATTGTTTAATGAAATAATGAAAAAATATTGATGAGGAAAGTAGAAAAATCAGTTTGATATTGACAGAAATTTAGATAATATAAACTAATAAACCTGATAGGTTCCAAGAAAATACAAAGTCTTTGTATGTTGAAATGGTGTAAATAAAAGATGTTTCTGAGGGTTTGCCTCCGTGTTTTTATGATCTTCAGAAAGGCAGCATCTGCTGGCAGTGAAAGGAGGTCAAAGGGGGTTTGGTGAGAGTAGTCATGAAAATATATGGTAACTTGGCTTGTTGCATTATTACTAGTTCATAGTTTTGCTGAATTTTTAATTGCATCAAATACTAAATGTTAAGCTAATGTCCAGTATTTTTAGGTCATAGGCAAGGTGAAAGGAAAAAAAAAATTAAAATGATCTCAACTCAGAAAAAAGGTTTATAAAGCTAGACAAGTGAGTAGCACATGGCTGCATTAGTAAGAAGCCTGAAGTTTATTTGAGGCACAGAAGGACCCAGTGTGCTCGTCTCCCCCTGTGAGGGGTTTAGTCATTTGGCTTGAAAGGCTTGTCATTTTGAGATTGAGACAGATTTAAAGTTTCTCAAAGCATGACCTTTTTTTATTATTATTCTTGATCAACTCAGGCTAAAATTGAAAGCATAAAGACTTGAGAACAATTTCAAAGCTTTTACTTAAAAATACCTTTTAAACGGCCATGCAGGACATTCTGCTAACGTATTTTTACTTTCGTGTTCACAGCAAAGTTTAAGGAATTTGAAATCTCCCTAGTTTGGAATGTGGTTCATGTAAGTGCTCTTTCATTTTAGCAGCACATTTAAAGTATCACTAATGAAGAACCAATTTAAAAATTAAATTCACTTTCACATCTTTTTAAAATAAAATTTGAATAGGTTAGTATGTCTGCAAAATTAATATCCTATTAGTTTAACTTTTCTCTAATGGATGAATGCAATATATGACCATAGAGGTTTTTATTTGCCTTAAATCTATATAAGCTTGAAATACAGTCTTCTTGATAAATGAGGTTACTAGAAACTAAATGGGAATTCTTATTTGCCACCACAGTGGTGACATGAAGAATCACAGCCTTTAGCTCAGGGCTACTAAGCTCTTAATAATGAGAGAAAGGTGTTCCATCTTCACCTATGGTAGACCCACAATTGCAATGAATAAAAATAGCTGCCAAGACTTCTCCAAAAAATATTCATGACAGGGAGAAAAATATTGATTTTAAATGCCAAGAAATAAAATATCTTCTAAAGTGTTCATTTCAACCCAAGTATTATTTTCCAAAAGAAACTGAATGGGCTGTAAAGTGTTTCAGAGCACTATTTCACGTTTAACTTTTTTTTCAAGAAAAAGTTCAAAGCAAGAACTTGTAATCAGTCTCTCCAGTTTATCTCTCTCTTTCTCTCTCAATTTTCTCTTTCTTATATATATGCAAACTCTCCTTCTTTCTCTTTTGCTCTCTCATTCTCTTTAAGAAAAACCTCATGTTTAGGAGAAAAACAAGCTTTATGAGAATAAAATGGGTTTAATTGATGTTTTCTTATTTTAAGCAGAATATTATAAGCTAAATAATGTCTGTAAAGTATGAAATATGCAGATGGGACATTATCTTTGACAAGAGCATCAAACCATGTCTCAGCTCTCATACTTTGGCGTACACACTTCTCTTTCATATGGTATCAAATTATATTATTATATGAGATGTATATTAATAATCTGCCTTTAGACACAATTGGGCTTGATTATTTGCCATAGCTTACTACATAAATTGTGCAAGTACTATAACATGAATGCTAGCAAATTGCCAAAGGCAAGAAAGAAATTGGGTCATTGAAAAATTGTGTTGGACTCCTCTTTTGTATTATTCCAAATTTTCTTAGCCCCAACTTCAGCCGTTGTAGTGGGAATTATTTATGTACAAGCTTCAATCAGATTCTAACAGGGGCAACCTGAGAGGACATCCCTCTAGGCTTGTGTAGTCATACTTCCTGCCTACTTTATGTATTAGACTGTTCTTAGGCTGCTAATAAAGCCATACTTGAGACTGGGTAATTTATAAACAAAAAGAGGTTTAATGGGCTCACAGTTCCATATGACTGGGGAGGCCTCAAAATCATGGCAAAAGTTGAAGGAAGAACAAAGTCACATCTTACATGATGGCAGGCAAGAGAGCATGTGCAGGGGAACTGCCCTTTATAAAACCATCAGATCTCGTGAGGCTTATTCACTATCATTAGAACAGCACTGGAAAAACCCACTCCCATGATTCAATTACTTCCTACCGGGTCCCTCCCACGTCACGTGGGGATTATGGGAGCTACAATTCAAGATGAGATTTGGGTGGGACAAAGCCAAACCATATCACTGTCCTTGAGCTTCTTTGAAACTATCTCATAGAACATGTTGGAAATAAATAAATAGATAAATAAATAAAACTAACAAAAAAACAGCCAATATTTATTCACATGTGACATATGGAAGTATGGGAGTATTGATGTCCATGAGGGCATCTTGATTAATGGGAGACTGAAGCCTGTGACGATGATGCTTCTTTTTGTCTCCTATATGGATGGTTTAGAGATGCACTTCATAATGCTCCTCAGAAGATCCAGAGTACACCAGTGGCCTGTAGCGGTGGCGATGTAGTCATGCATTCTTGATTGGCTTTCCCTGCTTCTGTCTCATATCTGCTTCACTACCTTTGCCCTGTGGCCTAGTATCACTTTCTGAAGCTGCCTGTGCTTGTGCTTCCTCTACTCTTGGGAGATCCTAGAGTAAGACAAACTGATTCCAAATCGGTGATGCTTTTTAGCATTGAAGGCTGTGTAGAGATAATCAATTATTGAGGCATTAATAAATTCCAGAATTTAATATAACAAATTATAACACTGAGATGAAGACTTTGATTTCTTGTTCTCAGTTACCTCCATCTTTGTCTACATGATCTGGGTGGGGCAGAAGTGATAGACAAAAATCCTCTGCTATGACTGGTCTTGATAATGTTCTGGATAGCAGAGCAGCCCAGAAAAGCTATTCTCCTTATTCTAAACTCTGGAAGTTGTAACCCGAAGGATTACTCTAACATTCTACCATGATTGTCGATTTAGCTTAAATTTTTCTAAAATTTTTAGTAGTGGAAATAAATCATGGTTTTCACATAACACCTACAAAAAGACCAAATGATAACTCTAAAGGATATGACATATGAAAACTATAAAATATCATAAAATTAAATATTTGAATGGTAAATGAGCTTTTAAGAGACTAGAGAATACATTGCATAATTCAATTTCATTTTATATTTTAACTCCCTTATTGTGGCTTCGGTATTATTACTGTCCTTGATTAACATTTGTGAGTTTAATTTTAAGCAGATTTTCTTATATAGCCTGAATTTTTTATATTTATTATTTGTATAATTTGAAATGGATGAAAATATTTAAAACAAAACAAAAGTATAGAGTAAAAACCCTTCCAATATTATATTAAAGGAGACTGTAATTTCAAAAGAAAATATTTGCAGTGAAATTTTTAGGCTAAGCCACATTACTCTTTACCATCAGAAAGTCATTGTGAAATTTTATGTAAGAAACGAAACAATTATTTTATTTCCTGGACTTCCACTTAGGTCATGTTAATAGATGTAGTCCAACAATTTTGACCAAATGAAATATTTAATCAACTAAGTCAAAATGTTGAAATTTTATGTCAAGATTTATATTCAATTCCTTAAAAACAACTGAGTATAAGTCAAAGTTGGCTCTAAAACTCATATAAAATTTAAAATATAGAATTTTAGATGTTATCAGGCTAAGGTTTAACAATAAGGGTGTACTAAAATCCTAATTTGTTATAAGTAGGATATAATTGAAAGGCAGCAGAGACACTCTCCTCCACAAAACGCTTTCTTTCCTTACTTAATTCTGCTTGCCTGACAGAGTTGAGGTCAGAAATAAAATTAATACAAATGAAGAGTTAAGTATTATGCATGGCACATACTAGGCCTTTTACAAATAATAATTATAATTACTATTGTCATCACCATTTCTATACCTCTGAACAACATAGCTGGGAAAGATGTAATTTCCATAATGGATGCCCTGGCTTTAAAAGGAAAGGATGAACTGGAATCTTTTTATTCTCCATCTCCTGATAACTCAATTGAGGATGCCGTGTAATAAGAATGTCTCATTTTTTAATGTGCTGTGAACTTGTGCCTACAACATTGGCGGGAAGGTTCCATACCTCTGGAAAGCAGGCGCGGCAGAGCTGCGGGGGATCCTGATGTGTGAAACTCTGAGCTGTGGGCTGCGTTTTCATTAAGTGCATTTTGCTTTCCTGCTGCTTTTCTTTCTAAGCTCCACCCTGAAAAGCACAGGCCTCTTTAGCAAAATTAAGGAAAAAACAGAGTGATCTCTCTTTGGGCAGTAATCGTGTGAAACAGATTAAGAAATACACTTGCTCATGCCAGCAGGCAGCAACTAAATAATGACAAATGTTCACAGACCCAAATCGCAGGACAAAGGCAGCGTGCAATGTTAGTTGTCATTATTATCTTTACCCACAAAGGTGTATGTGTGTGTGTTGAGGGGAGGGGAAGTGCAGAGAAACAGGAAAATAATTAAAAGGCATATATGGAAAAATGATAAGTTTGTAGAACAGGGGATTTTCTCTTGCCAAAGTCACAAAAAAAATAATTCCACTAAAAATACATAGCAGAAGTTTTTTGACCAAGCTACCTTTCCAGAACTGATCTCGGTAAGTCAGGGTAATGGTCTTGAAGTTGTCTCAGGATAACCTTCAGCACAGTTGAAGATGGTTAATTTTTCCTCTCCTCTTCTTATGTCATTACAACCAGATTTTTCTTTTGGGGAAGAATTTGTCCCAGGCTGAGGCAAAGTAGAGAGCAGTGTGGCTTTTTTTTTCCAGTTTACCTCAACTTCTTATTTTTATATGTCAGGTAGGAAGGGAAGAAAATAAAAGCATGGAACACTCAAAACATGAGGAGCTGTGAAATTTTGTTTGTGGCCTACAAAGCCTCCTCTCTGTGCTGACCACAGTGAATGAAAGCAGGCTGAGGACACTATTCCTGGAATGGTGTGTCTGAGGGAAACTGCTGGCCAGTACCGGTCACCAGCATCCTAGATTCAATTATTCAATGCAGTATTTAACAAAAGTTAACTAGAGGAGGGCCATTGAATCCCTAGACTGTCCCTGAGTGGGCATAGGTTTGTCTCCTTGGGAAAACAAATCCAATCTTATTAAGACACAGAGAGACCATCAGAGTTAGAATGAAGTCTTTTTTTTTATTTTTTATTTTTTATTTTTGAGGATGTGATCTCAGAAAGAGAAGAAGCAAATCATCAGTGAGGGAACAAAATAATCTTGTTGCTCAGGGTCTGTCTGTGTATCAGAAAATAGAAGAGTGCATGGGTAAGGTAACTTCAAAATCAAGGTTTATAAGACCACGAAGAGACCTGTAGGAGCTATGGAAGCCGCAAGAGCTTCAGAAAGAATGATGGTTCCAAATCAGGAGGAATTCCTCTGGATTTTCTCGTTGATAGGTGCCATAGGTGGCACCCTAATGGGTAGGGGGTAACATCTAGAAATATTGGGGCTATGTGAAAAGGCACCAGATGAACCAGCTAGCACGGTGCATCTGACCATGCTGTAAAGAATTCAAGCCTGAGAGTAATGACACTGGCCATGAGCAGAGTGAGGAGGGCCTGCCACATGAGAGACCAGGGCAGTACAGGGATGGCTTCAGGCACTGGAACAGCACCTTTGGAAAACCTAGAACATTGTTCTAATGGTGGGTGTGCTTCTTCCCAAAAGGTGTTTTGAAAATTTACGAAGGCATTTTTTATTGTCACAGATTTGGGGGAAAGAGCCATTTACCGGGAGACTCTGGGTTGTCAGCCGTCCAGCATTGAAAAGGAAAAACAGCATGTTGAAAAATTGTCTTAACTTTTTCAGGATTTTGAAATATCATATCAGATATTTTTGTGGATCACAAACCCCTTTTAATATACTGAGTCTAAAACATAACTCCTTTATACATGTAAACACAAAGTAATTTTTTGTCTGAACATATGTACTGAATATAATGTAATGGAATATAAATATTGTATGACCTAGAGAAGATTGCATTTTAATTTGTTCAGAACTTTAAAAGAATTGTCATATAACAGAAAATCCCATTACCAAAACTGTCATCATAATAGAATTTGAGTAGCCAATACACCTCAATCAGCAGGCTTTTGTAGCTCTTTCATTCAAAGTATTTCTAATAGATACAAACATACGACCACTTCATTTTGTATTCTAGCGCAGTTCTTAAGCATTTACATGTGAACTATACATTATTGTATGATAAATTACATCCCTATTTCTCCTTTACATGGCATGATGTTATATTGATTCTTTGAAATTGTACGTACTGGTTGATTATATTATCTATGAATTTGATTTCAGAATAGTAGAGAGGATGTCAAATATTTGTAATGAAAGAAAGTAGGCTTGATAAGGCAGAGAATCCTTTCCCAGGTTCTGTAATACTAGAAAACATTCCGTGGGAGATACTAAGAAAGAAGAAGACACTTTGAAACTTTAATTTCTTGATCTTATTCTATTGCAAATGTAGTGTACTGCCCATGTTTTTCTTTAAATTTCATCAAGAGAGTTTTGATTTGTGGAATTTCTGGTAGTTTTGTTTCTTATAGGTGAAAATGTCATTACCTTTATTTTGGGGAATTCATCAGGGCGTGCCTTTTATTACACAGAAGAGAGGCAAACACAACATAATTGTTCTGAAAAGGAAAAGGCATAGTTATCTCATGTGTATAGTATGTACCTTACCTGCAAAGTATGCAGGCTGAGTGTATTGTTTACTAATGCAATTTGAGGTAGCATCAACTGGGACTAATGCAAATTGGAGGTATCATTATCAACTGTGACTTTGGAGATAGGAAAATCTGATTTTCCCAAACCCAATGATTATTTATCCCTGATCTGTGGTTCCCTAACATGGAATTATTAGTGATAAAATCAACAGTGCTGTGGAAAATGTATAGCAGTCTATGGTACCTGCCCTCCTGGGTCTTGGGGAACACACTGTATTTTATTTTACACAATCCTAGAAAAAAGGCCTTGATGTCCTATTAAGTTCATCATTAAAGGAGATAAAACTAAATATGATGTAACTAATATGTTCCAAAAATAGTAAAATGGGACATATAGTTTAGATAACATGTACTTTTTGGTTATCTAATTAAAAAGTTCTTTTTTGAATAGTTGTTGCCAGCTTACATCATCTGGAGAGGTTTTTTTTTAGATGTTTCATTGATTTAATTGTTTACTGTCTAGAGAACAAATTTAGGGCTGTTTCATATTCCTAACTATATAATCTAGAATCTGGAGCTCAGATCTCTGACATGTTTTCTATATGTTCTGCACAGACATCAATAGGTACAGAAAAGGCCTACTTTGATTAATCAAACCAGTGAAATTTTTTTCTACACACTAGCAAGCTGAACTTTAGCTGAAGGAGAAACCAAATAAGAACTTGATAAAATGGGATGGGATGAACTAGATGAGGGTAGAATTAAAACAGGACACTGTGAATTATGATTGTGTGATCCATCACCCATTTGCTTTGCCAGGAAGCTGAAAAGTTTTTACTGAGCCTCGCTGAAGGTAGGAGGTTGGATGGGGCAACTTTTTTTTTTTAATCCTTTGAGCCCAACCTGAAATGAAAACAAATTATAATCAAAGAAGTTCCACACCCACATGTTTTCATTTTTTTACTTTTTGTTCCACATATATATTTCCATATATGGATTCCACTCCCACATTTTCACTTGGGAGCCAAGAATTTTAATGATGGAAGTTATTAGAAATGAAACAGAGAAAAAGGTTATATACAGAATTGAAAATAATTTCTGTTTAAGTCACCTGTAACTATTCACTGCCTGACATAGATTTCTTGTGTTTAAGTTAAGAACAGTTCCCTGTCCTTTGGGTATGTCATTTCGTGTGAGCATAGACGTAGTGCAACCATTATTCAGGCTTAGAGAGCTTCTGATAATTGTTCACAGCACAAACAAACAAAAACACAAAAGACCTAACACATCTCTGGAGGCTAAAAGGTAACATGAAGTACTTAAGGATGGGCCAATAAAGTACACATTATAGAACCAGAAAACCCCATATCATTGTTTTCAAGCATATTGGTCTGAAATATATACATATATAATTATTTTGTTTCTTTTCTTTTTCTTTCCTTCTTTCTTTCTTTCTTTCTTTCTTTCTTTCTCTTTCTTTCTTTTTCTTTCTTTCTTTCTTTTGTCTCGCTCTCTCTCTTTCTTTCTTTCTTTTTTTTTTTTTTTAGACAGAGTCTTGCTCTGTCACCCAGGCTGGAGTGCAGTGGCGCAATCTTGGCTCACTGCAACCTTCGCCTCCCGGATTCAAGTGATTCTCCTGCCTCAGACTCCTGAGTAGCTGGGATTACAGGCATGCGCCATCACACCTGGCTCATTTTTGTGTTTTTAGTAGAGACAAAGTTTCTCCTTGTTGGCGAGGCTGGTCTTGAACTCCTGACCTCAGGTGATCCACCCACCTCGGCCTCCCAAAGTGCTGGGATTATAGGCGTGAGCCACCATGCCCAGCCAATTTTGTTTCTTTTAATATTGAATAGAGTATGACTCAAGCCCCTTCGTATTTATTTATTTTTATAATTTCAACTTTCATTTTTAATTTAGGGGGTATATATGCAGGTTTGTTACATGGGTCTATTGTGTGACACCGAAGTTTGGGGTGTGAATGATCCCACCACCCAGATAGTGAGCATAGTACCCAACTGGTAGTTTTTCAGTCAAACTACCAATTTTGGTTATGATTTGTTTTCATTTCAGGTTGGGCTCAAAGGATTAAATAAATAACAATTTTAAAAAATTTTAAAAATTTAAAAAAAGTTGTCCAATTCAACCTCCTACCTTCAGCGAGACTCAGTTAAAGCTCTTCAGCTTCTTGGCATAGCAAATGGGGGATGGATCACACGATCACAATTCATAGCATCCTGTTTTAATTCTACACCCATCCAAAGAGTTTTTTCCTCTCTCTCCGCTCTAGTAGTCTCTGGTGTCTATTGTGTTCCTCTTTGTGTCCATGTGTACCCAGTGTTTAGCTCCCACTTACAAGTGAGGGCATGCAGTATTTGGTTTTCTGCTCCCATGTTAATTCCTTTAGAATAATGGCCTCCAGTCTCATCCATGTTGCTACAAAAGACATGACTTCATTCTTTTTTATGTTAAGCCTGTATATAATTGTGGAAAGTAAAAGCCCTCTATAATTCTCTATAATTGTGGAAAGTGAAAGGTCTTTACCATAAACATTTTTAAACAACTTTATCAAGATATAATTCACATAACATACAACTTTCCCATTTAAAGTATATAATTCAATGGTTTTGGTCTATAACATTATTATTTAAAAAAAGTCTTCTCAGATTGTTACATTTTAAAAAGTTTTTAAATTATGATTTAATTTGCTATTTTAATCATTGTTAAGTGCATGGTTCTGTGGCATTTGTCATATTCTCAATGTCGTACTACCATCACCACTATTTTCAAAACATTTCATTACCCCAGAAAGAGTATTTTAAGAGAAACTATCCCTCTTGATTCAGAAAATGTAAGCCACAATTTTAAAAAATTAAAGTTCCCAAACTAGAAAGAAATATTTTAATTTTTTTTCTGTGAAGGATAGTAACTCTTATAGGGAAAAGGAAAGAGGAGTTTGCTGTGACCACTAGGAGGTCACAGTGGAATGTCTGCATACTTCCACCAATGTGACTACACGGCTGCCCTTTCCACCAATGTCACTTACACAGCTGCTCATCCTTTCAGATTCAGCACAAGCATGTTCATTACGTTGTATTGTGCTCATTAAAGTATGTGTGCCCTAGCATTTATAATCATGTGTTCATTCACATGATCATAAGTGGACACATGACCATAAATGCTAAAGCACACTTACTTCTACAACATACTGAGCTCACCTCACAGGTATAAACAAAAACATGCACACAAATGTGTATTGAGAATAGACAACTAAACACAGAGGAAGCTTATGTGTACTGAGAGACAAGTGAAGAAGGAATATGCCAACTAGAAAGAAGAATGTTTGGAACCTAGAGGGAAAGTAAATTTTATGGTTTTAAATGTATCCACAGGTTTTTTATATTCCTCCCCTCAAGAAGTAGACTCCAATTCTCTTCCTTTTAAATATGGGCTGGTCTTACAAACTTCTTTCTCAAGATTAAAATGCAGAGTAAATAAGATTGCTGACTTCTGAGACTAAGTTTGGAAATGTCACTCAACTTCTGCTGAGGTTCTGGTTCATATTTAGAACCTGGCCTCCATGCTGTGAGGAAATCCAGTCTACATGCAAAGACTATGCAGGAATGTTCTGGCCAAAGGCTCCCCATAAAGTTCTAGCTGACAGCCAGTCATGACCCATCACCAGACATGTGAATGATGATGCTATCAAACCAACTCCAGCCACAGGATCTGACTAAAACCTCATGAGAGGCACTGAGCAACAATCACCTAGCTTATCCTTCTCAAGTCCCAGAATCATGAGAGATGACAATAATAAATGATGGTCACTTTTATACCATTAAATTTGGGGTAATTTGTTATGCAGCAGAAGGTAACCAGGACAGTAAATGAAGTGATAACATCAGGATAGGTAAAGTGAGT
The DNA here is from genome assembly GCF_000001405.40 of Homo sapiens. NCBI lineage: Eukaryota > Metazoa > Chordata > Mammalia > Primates > Hominidae > Homo > Homo sapiens. The sequence continues at coordinate 91,522,467 of NC_000006.12, forward strand.
TAGATGGGGAGTCAGCAGCAAAGGTTAGGAATAAGGGTAACTTCCCCATATTTTCTTTTCTTAAAATAGAAAGAAGAAAGGAAGGTTTTTAGATTATTGTTTATTTATCTTGCTTTTTTAGTATAATTGATTATCAAAGATTTCAAATGAAAATGAACTTAAAAGTCTGTATAAATAGTACAGATCATGAAGATTTTAAGTTTCTCTATTTCTCATTTGTTGATTAGGGCATATTTCCTAGCTTTGGAATGAAATTTTTGTTTGGCATTTTAATTAATAAACACATCTCATAAACACATAACTTGTGTCATAACTAACTTTAATTATTTTGTTCATTAAACAATATTTGTTAGCATTTATTAAGTGCTGGGTATTCTGCTAGGGATATAATAGCTAATAAGATATACTCCTCACAGTCAAGGAATTTATAAGAAAATCTTATGGGAGAGACAAACAAGTAAACCAGCAATTATAGTAGCAAGACCTACGTATGGATAGAAGTACAAAATCTATGGCACCATATAGGAACATCTCAACAGCTCTTGAGAAAATGTTGAGGAGGTGTCAGGGAAGGATCATTAGAGGGACTCATGGCTATGCTGACACCTCAAGGGAAGAAACTGAGTTCAACCAGTGAAGCTCTAGAGGTAGTTGAGGAGGAAGACTAACAGTATGGGCAGGAGCCATAGACTGTGCAGAAACCTGGAAGCAAGGATACATGTAACAAATTCTGGGAACTGAAAGTGTCTCATTATGGCTGGAGAAGAGATCACAAGGCAGAGGCTAAAGAGATACAATACAAGGGGGTACCTCTGTGAGGTTAATAATTTTGAACTTTATCCTGAGAGCGTTGGGAAGCCATTGAATGCTTTAACCAAGAGAGAGACATGATGAAATTTGACTGTGATGTAAAAAACATATTCGAAAGAGGCAAGACTAGATTCTGGCAGACCAATCAGAACACTCTTGCAGCAATTCAGGTGACAGAAGACAAAGGTAGTAGCTTGAAGTTGTGTAGGAAGAATCACCCTATGAGGAGGGAACAGAGCTATTGTTCACTCACAGCCCAGAGAGCCTCAGCTCTGCATGAAAGCCTTTTGGACATGGATAAAACAAATTGCAAGTTGGTAATCTAATTTCAGGAGGGACAGATCCTGGATGTGTATTTCAGAGTGCTAAAGTCTATCCAGAAACTGATACCCATGTGGCATTCTGGATCGAATGCCATATGTGTTGTAAAAGCAGACAGGTGCTTTGATAAGCTAGCAACAGATTTTAACCACAAAAATTCTTTTTTAATGAGAAATCTGTGCCACACCAGTAACTTATACGAAAACAAAGATTGGTGTGTATGTATCTGCGTGTCAAATGAATATTCATGCCTATGATTCACTTTAACATTTTCACAATCTGACCTTGAATGAAGAGGTCAGGGCACCACTCATTAAAAAATGATAAGGCTTTCCATATGAGCTTACATGGTATTGCAAATTGGAATTTTTTCAGCCTCTTTTGAGAATGATTCCCTAAATTAGGATAGTGTATGAGGTGTTAACAATGTCCGTGTGCTTTGAATGAAATCAACACCTATAATATACAGTAACATTTTTAAAGCATTACATATGTGTAAATATGTTCATGTGTATGTGACGTATATGCATTAAATAATTATGTGGAGGATACATATGTATATTTGTAGGTGTGTAAATGTGGGGAATGAGCAAACTGAGCCACTCAAGACCTGAGTCTGCTTTAGTGCATTCACATAAATTCAATGAGAAATTAAAGTAATTCTTTGCCAAAAGAGTGGCTGATATGATAGGACAACTGCTTTCTTTTGCTACTACGAGAACAAATTAACACTACTGTAGGGATAGACAAGGAGAAGTGGTTTGCAGTGATTCATACAATAAATAACCAATGTATCTGTAGCTATTGTCATTGAGCCAAAAATGCTTTCATTTAAATCATGTATACTAATTACTGAAATTGCCAGGGAATCATTAAGAATAAGTATTTATAGAAATTCAAAAGAGAAATTTAGTGTTGCTATAGATTTCATATTTGTATTGTTTATTTCACTTTATATTTGAATGTTTTGAAGAGAGCTTAATCTAGGGTTTGAAAAGACAGATCAGGATGTTGACAAACAGGTGACCTTTCTGACGGGGTTGGGTGTAAATACTCATTATAATTGGACAGTAGAAATTTACTGTTTTGCATGTTGTATATCATGTTTTAATCTTTTAGGTACAAAATATTTATCATGTTAGTCCAAACTGAAAAAAAGCAGACAAGAACAAAAATTATTGACTATTTACCATGTGCCAGACATTGTCAGGTTGTCCCAGCAATCATCACAATTACACTGTTAATTGGTTAAAATTCACATCATTTTCAAAAGACCCATTTTAGACTTTTTTTAGTCTAAGCCATTTTAGTCTTTTAGGCTTTTTTTTAGTCTAACCTTTAAGAGGTTACAACTACCCGAGTGGCTCTAGTCAGTAAGTGCTGGAGGTGGGATTCAAAAAGACATCTATCCAATTAGATCTCACCCCTTGCTACTTACCTCCCAATTTCACTGGGTGGCCAAGGATGTCATTTTTCTATTGCTAGATACAAATATAAATAAATATCCAAATAAACAGAATCTGAATTTTGTTTTTCAAAAATTACAGGATGTTTGAACTAGAAAGGAACTTGTAAATCCAGTCCAAAGGCCCTACTTTATAGAGGAAGCAATTGAAACTCAACAGAGAAAAAAGCGATTGACTCGATGTCATTCCTACTGTTGGTAGTGGACTTGCAAGTAGAATTCTCATCTCTTGAGCCATGCTAGAAACCCACTTACCATGACATAAATCAGATTAATGAATATCTAATGGTCGTGAGATTAAAGGTGTATCTAAACCAAACATGCCCTGTTTTGCCATGTTTCAATTTTTAGTTTTACTTCTCAGCAAATTGTGGTCTATAAAGATTTGAATGCTTTCCTTTTGAGTTTCTTTTGCTGGGTTTTTCATTAATTCTTTTTACTGTAGTATAAATGTCTAAAAGTAAAACAAAACAATAACAATTAAATTAATATGCAAAAATGTTAAATTTTATGTGCCTGGTTTAAAATGACCTTAGCCTAGCATGGCTTAATGCAGTGTTTGCCAGGACTTCCCTTCTTCTCTCACAGATCAATTAAATTCCTTTACTCTACGTACCCTAGGATGTATCACTCTTTTCTATTCGTCGTCATTCTCTCAGCCATGCCTGAACTATTATGATCAGGTTTTGGTTATAAAGATACAGCATTTTAATTTTAATTTAATTTTATTTATGAGACAGAGTTTTGCTTTTGTCCCCCATGCTGGAGTTCAATGGCGCTATCTCAGCTCACTGCAACCTCCACCTCCTGGGTTCAAACAATTCTCCTGCCTCAGTCTCTCAAGTAGCTGGGATTACAGGCACGTGCCACTATGCCCAGCTAATTTTTGTACTTTTAGTAGAAATGGAGTTTCACCATGTTGGCCAGGGTGGTCTCGAACTCCTGACCTCAGGTGATCAACCTGCCTTGGCCTCCCAAATTGCTGGGATTACAGGCATGAGCCACAGCGCTTGGCCCAAAGATACAACATTCTTTAGTCTGAGTTTCAGATACTGTTCATTCTGAGGTAGAACCTGCATTTGGCAACTCAAAATATTCTTGACCTCTGTCCACAGAATTTCCATGAACTGATGTAATACAATAAATATACATAGAGCCGAAGTTCCCAACTCTTCCTGGTTTGCCAGAACCTTCTCAGTTTTACCATTAAAAGTCCAGGTCCAGGAAAAGCCCTCCATCTCAGGCAAGATGGGTTTAAAACAAATGTTCAGTTATATATTCCATATAATTACTAACTTGGTTTTATAAAGAACCCTACTGTTTAGACAAAGTAGAAATTATCAGCACAGTTTTGCAAAATTGTTTATATCCCAGTTCCATAATTAACTCTATAATATTAGGGACCACATAGACTTTTTATGTTTCAGTTTAATTATCTGTTAAAAATAAAAGCCACATGGCAAAATAAGTGACCCATATGTCATCTGATTACTCACTTACTCAAACTCTAGTAAAGGCTTACTTCTAGGAGATACGTGACATGCTTCAGGTAATTATTCTAAGGCCTGCTGCCCCTAGTATTGTACCCAGCTACCTCTTTTTGTACAGTCTCCATAATTCTTTCAAGTTCCAACTCCATAATCCTTACCTGCTGGTCCCCTGGGTATCAGCACACATAGCATCCATGGGGCCTGGCACAAAGGACTTCCACTCCAAGCCGCAGCTTTCTATTCTAAGAGGAAAGAAGTTGGGATACCTGTCTCCTGGCTCTGCCATTTACAAGCTGCATAGCCTGCATCTATCATGATTTCCTTTTTAGGGCTCTCTAATTTTATCAGTTCTTAGAAGGGAGATGGGGCAAAATTATCTTTCAGAATGTGCTAGGATTGTCCCTTCTCATATAACAAGTGTGTGAAAATTAGCAGAATGCTTATTAGATTATTCATTTAAAGCACTTGAAGCAATTTCTGGAACATAGTCTGGCATTAGGAGGTTAACTATTATAATCATCTGGGAAAACCCTAAGAAGAAATGGGTTTAGAAAACTTAAGTGAGGTATAAAGACAACTGTGAAATATGTACAGATTATTGTTACAGATTATTGTTAACTCTTTTAAAATGGTTATTGTACAATATACGGTATTATACTCTATGTTACTGTATAATATATTGTGTAATACCATATAGTATACTGTGTACTCCAACATTATATATTATACTGTATAATACTACATATGTATGCTGGTTAAAATGAATGATTCAGAACCTAAGAGAGTCCTCAAATTCATTTGGAATTATTATCATTATTATTATTACTATTATTATACTTTAAGTTTTGGGATACATGTGCAGAACATGCAAGTTTGTTCCATAGGTATACACATGCCACGTTGGTTTCCTGCACCCATCAACCCGTCATCTACATTAGGTATTTCTCCTAATGCTATCCCTCCCCTAGCCCCCTAACCCCCATCCGGCCCCGGTGTGTGATGTTCCCCTCCCTGTGTCCATGTGTTCTCATTATTCAACTCCCACTTATGAGTGAGAACATGTGGCGTCTGGTTTTCTCTTCCTGTGTTAGTTTGCTGAGAATGATCATTTCCAGCTTCATCCATGTCCCTCCAAAGGACATGAACTCATCCTTTTTTATGGCTGCATAGTATTCAATGTTGTATATATCCCACATTTTCTTTATCCAGTCTATCGTTGATGGGCATTTGGGTTGGTTCCAAGTCTTTGCTATCGTGAACAGTGCTGAAATAAACATATGTGTGCATGTGCCTGTATAGCAGAATGATTTACAATCCTTTGGGTATATACCCAGTAATGGGATTGCTGGGTCAAATGGTATTTCTGGTTCTAGATGCTTAAGGAATCACCACACTGTCTTCCACAATGGTTGAACTAATTTACACTCCCACCAACAGTGTAAAAGTGTTCCTATTTCTCCACAGCCTCTCCAGCATGGGTTGTTTCCTGACTTTTTAAGGATCGCCATTCTAACTGGCATGAGATGATATCTCATTGTGGTTTTCATTTGCATTTCTCTAATGACCAGTGATGATGAGCTTTTTTTCATGTGCTTGTTGGCCGCATAAATGTCTTGTTTTGAGAAGTGTCTGTTCATATCCTTTGCCCTCTTTTTGATGGGGTTGTTTTTTTTTTCTTGTAAATTTATTTAACTTGTTTGTAGATTCTGGATATTAGCCCTTTGTCAGATGGATAGATTGCAAAAATTTTCTTCCATTCTGTAGGTTGTCTGTTCACTGTGATGATAGTTTCTTTTGCTGTGCAGAAGCTCTTTAGTTTAATTATATCTCATTTGTCAATTTTGGCTTTTGTTGCCATTGCTTTTGGTGTTTTAGTCATGAAGTCTTTGCCCATGCCTATGTCCTGAATGGTATTGCCTAGGTTTTCTTCTAGGGTTTTTATGGTTTTAGGTCTTACATTTAAGTCTTTAATCCATCTTGAGTTAATTTTTGTATAAGGTGTAAGGAAGTGTTCCAGTTTCAGTTTTCTGCATATGGCTAGCCAGTTTTACCAACACCATTTATTAAATAGGGAATCCTTTTCCCATTGCTTGTTTTTGTCAGGTTTGTCAAAGATCAGATGGTTTTAGATGTGTGGTGTTATTTCTGAGGCCTCTTTTCTGTTCCATTGGTCTATATCTCTGTTTTGGTACTAGTACCATGCTGTTTTGGTTACTGTAGTCTTGTAGTATAGTTTGAAGTCAGGTAGCATGATGCCTCCAGCTTTGTTCTTTTTGCTTAGGATTGTCTTGGCTATATGGGCTCTTTTTTTTTTTTGGTTCCATATGAAGTTTCAAGTAGTTCTTTCTAATTCTGTGAAGAAAGTCAATGGTAGCTTGATGGGGATAGAATTGAATCTATAAATCACTTTGGGCAGTATGGCCTATTTTTTGTGTTTATGGGAGTTCTGTAGATTATAACCTTGTTTAGATCTATTATTGTTTTGTCTGTTACATGTATGGTTTATCATGAGGTAAATTGTGCCATTCCATCAATTGGGCTAAAATTGGAGAGGTCATGGGTGTTAGTCTGCTTTGTGTTGCTACCAAGAAATAGCTGAGGCTGGGTAATTTATAAAGAAAAGAGGTTTTTTGGCTTACAGTTCTGTAGGCTATGTAGGCAGCCTAATGCCAACATCTGCTAGGCATTCGGTGATGCCTCAGGAAGCTTTTAATCAGGCAGAGGGGATCAAGATATATGACAACAGAGGGAACAAGAAAGAGGAGAGGGAGGCAGGGTGTTTTTAACAATCATATCTTGCATTAACTAACAGAGGGGAAAACTCAGTAATTATCTTGGGTAGGTCACCAAGCTACTCAAGAAGGTTCATCCCCATGACCCAAACACTCTCCACTAGACCCCATCTCCAACATTGCGGGTCACATTTCAACATGAGATTTGGAGGGGATAAATATCCAAACTATAGCTTCATGATTCTCCTTTTTATTCTTTTGCTTTGGGTCAATTGCCGTCAGTTGGCTGAACTTAATTCACAGATAATTGAATTGAGGGCAAATCAGCATAAAAGTGAGTTAAATATCATGCATAAAACAGGTTAATACATAACTAATGAAATAGTTAAATAAAAAGAAAAGTAAAATAATGAACTTAGGAATTATATAGGTTATTTTGATGTAATAACTGGGATACTACTGGTATCAGAATGTTGATTTTATTAGGTGCAATGAGAAAGTCACTTAAAATTTTTATATGAAAGCCAGATGAAAATGAATGAATATAATAACATATAGATGAAATAATTAGCAAATATTGGATCCAATTTGAACTGTACTTTCCTTCTTGATTCCAAAATGTTTTGAATTAACTGATGAGCTCATACAACATAGACAGAAGTATCCAAGAGTACATCATACAAAAAATTTTTGTTCCAGAGAGAGCTGATACCCTCGGTGTAATCCGAGTTCTGTTCCACAGGAAACTTACCTCCCCCACTCACCCACACACTTCACCAAAGTTTGGTGTTTTTAATATTTTTTAAGTCTATATTTTAGCCAGAAGGATTTATATTAAGCATAAGACATCAAGTTGTAGAGAGATGAAGAATGAAGGTCATGACCTTTCTATTTTATCTCTCTATTACTCTCAGCCTAAAACTGGCTCCTGGGGTAATGCCTATTTCTGTAAGAAATTATTTTCACTGATCTCTTCTTTGTGGCCCTTATAACAGTCTGTATTCAAGAGCATGTAAGCATCTAACGTACATGTACAGAAACTTCTTCAAGGGAGAGGAACCTGGCTCCCAAGGCCTGTAGGCTGCCACTTGACACCAGAAATTCTGAAGTGCTTGAACTCAGAAGAAATTATTCTCTTCTCCTGTATCCTGATTAAAAAAGGGCAATTCATAACTTATTTTAAGAGGCTTTAGACTCTAGATGCTAGGCCATTTCCCTTTTCTCTTTACAAGTGGTTTATAGAGTATGATTTTACAGTTTTCTTTGTGTTTTTAATGTATTTTAAAGTAAACTATTAAGTAAATGGAATCTGATGCTGGCAGTAACTTAAACATGTTAATTCTTTGATATACCTCTTTAATAAGCATGTATGTATGTATATATATGTATGTATTTATTTTTTCCTTTTGGAAGGCTCACTTTAGTTTTCTTCCTGTTCTTTTTTTTTCCTTTGTTATATCTGTGTAGCTCAGCCCAGTCACTACTCATTAAAAATTCTGCCAATGTCTATATGATCTTTAAGGCCAAAATAATCTTTAAGGTTTAATGTTTATGTTTAAAATTGCTTGGCACAAATCCTCCTAATTCTTCTTGAACATCATATTACAATTATGCATATGTAAACTGCAGCAATTGCACAGGTGTGTTATTTGATAAATGAACTATGTTAGCTTGACTTTCATAATTACATTTTCACCTCATTTTGTCTTCTGCCATCTCTCTGTGAGCCTTTGATTTCTCTGTTGAATAGTATAAAATCTTCTGTGATTTGAAATTATTTCATCTGATGTTAGAGGAGGTTTTCAGTCTCTCTCAGGTGCAGTATTATGAGCAAGTCAAATGTTTGCTCTCTGTTCTGTAACTACAACCTGTGAAACATTTGTACTAGATTTAGCATCGTAATAAATCACTAAATTAACCTATTTCATGAATATAAAATGAAATAATTTAGTGAGAAAGAAATTGCTTAATAAGATTTACTAAGTATTATCTCACAATCCGAAGCATATTTTCAGAGTTTAGATAATTTATAAAGAAATTAAGATGTAAATAACAAGATGATTATGCAATTTGTCCAATATTTTTGATAGAACATGACCATCACCTTATTTCACATTAACTCATTTGATTTTCTTGGCTTTTTAAAATAGGAACGGCTGATATTTTTGTTTTCATTTTGCCAATAGGGACTCAGTCACAGAGGTTATGTCATTTGCCTGAGGTTTCTGCAGCTAGAAAGCACAATAACTCAGAAAAGAAGATATTCAGTCACAACTAAGCATCTATTTCTGTAAAACCCAATAAAAAAAACTTTGCTCTGCATAAACTATGTGCTTATTTTTTTTCAGCCCCATCTAGATTTAAACCTCTCTAGTGATTGCAGACCCCTTTTCTGCACTGTTTGATAGATGGGCATAGAGAAATGTTAAGTTACAAAGAACATTAGTTCGGAATGTCTTACATGCATTTCCCTAGAAAGAGGCTTCCACCATGGTTTGTATAGTTTATGTTTTCGTCTCTGTACTCTTTTTCCTCCCTTCTCTACCTCATTTATTCACTATTTACAAAATCTTATCAGGCAGCCAATTTATTTGAAGTATGAACCTCGGAGTTAGGAATGCCAAGTTGAATGAAAAGATTCTTTTTTTTTCCTTTTTTTTTTGTTTTGTTTTGTTGAGACAGAGCCTCGCCCTGCCACCCAGGCTGGAGTGCAGTGGTGTGATCTCGGCTCACTGCAACCGCCGCCTCCTGGGTTCAAGCAATTCTCCTGCCTCAGCCTCCCCAGTAACTGTGATTACAGGTGCCCACCACCATATCAGGCGAATTTTTGTATTTTTAGTAGAGACAGGGTTTCACCATGTTAGCCAGGCTGGTTTCAAACTCCTGACCTCATGATCCACCCTCCTTGGCCTCCCAAAGTGCTGGGATTACAGGCATGAGCCACAGTGCCTGGCCTCAAAAAAAAAAAAAAAAAAAAAAAAAGATTTTTGATATTAAGAAACATACATTTTAATTGAAGAGACAAATAATTAAATTAATTCCTACCATAGAGTGTGCAAAGAAAACAGAAGTTGGAGGTTGGGTGGGTAGAGAAGGGTGATCTAAATTAAATGTGGTGTGTAAGTGTGGATATTGTGGGCATCGCTAATTTTATGTTTTTCTTAGATGAATAGACTTAAAATGAATTACATCTATGGACAGCGCATCTCATTGTACTTCATAGATTTTAATTCACAGTAATAGCACATATCTGGGTAGAGACCAAATTTAGATTAAGCGAAAAAGTCTCTACCCCACGCATTTTTTCCATTTAAATTAAGGTTAAAAATAGATTTTTTTTGCTTCTTGCCGCTAGTATGACATCAGAAAGCTATTCTCATAAGACTCACATTCATATTAACCTTAAAGATTTTGTGCCCTTGAAGAATTGCAGACTATATTATTTACCAGGCAACACTCCAAAACAATTTCCATCTTGACAGTGATGATGCTACCTATTGTATCCAGAAAATGTGATATGTAACAATTCCAAGTAGTTATTTTATGGGCTCCCTTTATACAATAATTCTGAAGGGAAAGCTTTGAAGTAGCATGCAACAAGAACAAGCATGGATTGGAAATGAAATATAGCCTCTCAATTAAAAGAAATCTGCCGTATATTGTGGCCAGTCACTCTTCTGATATGTTTGCTTGGTATCTTATGCACAATAATACACTGGGGTTAGTGGATTCAAGGTTAAAATTTATGGTTACTATCTAAAGGCATATTTAAGACTATTAATGAAACTTTTATTGAATAATTTTCAACACAAAAATTACTGTAAACTTTATGTGAAATCTTTATAAATGTAACAAAAAAAAACCTTCATAAGTATTGAGGTCAAAACCAATACACTTGATTGTTTTGTTTTCAATAAGTATCTCCTGTAAAATAACTAATGAAAATTTGATTTCTCCCTGTATATAGCGGAGAAAATAAAAATATACTAATACAATGTTCATTTTCTTTTTTTATTCATTTATTTATTTTTATCCCAAATGAAATTTTATGAACAGGTATCACAATTAATATTAAGTGATATCCCTGACTACAGATATTTTTTCTGATCACTTAAATTCACACCAGAAAATTTAACTGGAATATATATTAAATATTGATTTTTAAGCATTATGTTAGTACTGATTTCTAATCTGATGTAGATCAGTAGGAGCTCTACATGCAGTTTGGCTTTCATATTTCTAAGAGCATACTACATTTAATTTAAGGAGACAAGGAAAACTTAAAGTAGTTCAGCATTTCTGTTTTCCTCTAATCCCTAGAGATAAGGACAAATAATGCAAGTAAATTTAGCCGCAGTTTTAATCAGATTTAGTCTAGAGACAGAGGACGTTTCCCTGAATGTAATTTAGAAGGATATTTGATTTGAAATATAGCCTAAAAATGTTAGATATTATTTTAAGTACTTTTTATTAGCTGTATTTTATATACATCTATGAATAAAGAAATCAAGTCATAGAGGCAATTAAAAGCTTCTCTAGAATTATACCCCTAGTGGATAACAAAGAAAAAATATAAGCCCTATACTTAAGTTTCTAAGGTGAGTGGTCTTTCTAGTCTTTTACCCTTCCTTTCACCTCTGGTCTTTCTAGTCTTTTACCCTTCCTTTCACCTCTGGTCTTTCTATTACTGACCAGGTCAGAAAACACTACTTCATGCCAAATGTTGGCATCAATATACACATCCCATATTGCCTTGTGCATGTAGAACAAATTATGCCATGGGCCATCATTTGCACTAATAAGGTCAGTGAAAACAATGCCTTTTGAATATTGAGCCAGTTTTATACCACATACCAATCTTATGGCAAGCCTGAAGAAATTGTTTTTAAATTTATTTTACATTCTTATTCAAAAGCGTTTTCAAATCAAACATCCTTCAGACGTCCTTTAACTATTTTGCTGGGGCTTAGGAAAAATGCAGAGCAATACACTTTCAGGTGTACACTGTACAGTATAATTTGCATACAAATGCATTTTTACTGAAAAAGATCAGGCCAGAGTTTTAAATATGTTTCTACATTGAACTTTAAGGTATCTTGTAAAGTTAAATATGATATAAAATTTGAAATTCTCTCTAGTTCTACCTACTCCATATGAAATAAGTTTGTGTTTTGCATGGTATGGAGACTGGTTTCATTGAAGCTGCTGCAGAATACTCACAGACATTAAACAACATTAACAAATCAGATCATTTAATATCTTTTTATCTTAATATCTTATGCTTAATGAAGGGCTTTCATACCAAAATATTCATTTCTGATGGATATTCATAGTTGGAAGTCTTGACAGAATAAAAGGATTGGGAGACTTTTCCCCAATGTCACAGAAAACATTAGTCATAAAACCTAAGTCCAGTTACAGAATTTAAGCATGTCCGTATAGCTTACTATATCAATGTATAAAAATGAAGTGAAAGGTAAGCAGATAATAATATTATACAGGTACCCAATAAGATGAAATGCATATAGAGCGCCCTCTAAAGTATTAGAGAAGCCAGACAACCAAAGGGAAATAGAAAAGCTAAAGAGGGCTTATTCAGATAAGATTATTTCAGGGTCAATGAAGCTGGTAAGGTATGTAAAGATAATTGAAAAGGATTTCTATTAATTCACATTTTTTAAAAATAATGACAGAACAAAAATTGTGTATGCTATTTCTTGATTAGCATGTGTTTAAGTAAATAGGCTAACTGCGGATTTAAAACATAAAAATAGATTAGATATAAATTATAAAGGACTCGGGGAAGTGGTATTTGGGGAAGACATGTTGAAAATTCATTGCATATTTATATATAACATCTAAAATTCATTCATTTGGAAAATCTTTCTCAAGGATGTGTTATATGGCAGGCACTGTTCTAGGCACCAGGGATACAATAGTGTGTAAATAATACAGCCATAGGCTCTATCCTCATAATGTCTATGATGACTGACCTCCTAGAACATTTAAAAGATTTGCAGAAATAATTATGTGGAATTGTTTGTACATGATAAATTGATAAGGGTTCAAGTGACTAAAATTTTAACTATAAAAAGGGAAAATGATCATTCCAGTATAAAATCGATGACCTTTTTCTGTGGCCCCGTAAAATAATTATTGCCCGATTTTTGATTTAGCACTACTGTGGATCAAATATTTATAACATCTAGGAGTATTGTTTCATAAAAATAGTATGTAAATATATAACTGAATTACTACATAATGAGGAAATTCCCATGGGCAAAAAATTACCAGGATTATGTATTCTGATACATGAGCACAGGAATCTGCCTGCTTGGGCCATCTGCCTACACCATGTGGTCCACAGCACTGCCTTTAAAGGGCTATATGTGTAGGGGACATAAGACAATGTCTGAAGCCTGCACAAAGCCAGAACCTCTGAAAGGAGACACATGGAATGAAACAGGGATCTAGACAAACAGCCCTACCTCGCAGAAGGAATTTTTTAAACTATTAGTAATAGCAATAACTTTTTTTTGAAAAAAAAAATACGCATCTACAGTCGATTGCTCTGGACATTGATTCTGGGTGAAAGGGAAGATCTCCCCTGATAATTCAGCACGTGATTGGTCCTCATTTGGGTTTGAGGCTAATATTCACATTCTCTTTATGGCTTGAATGATACCAAGTCAATCTTTAAGAGGTTGAACATGTTGGGAGTGCTTTCTGAGAAAATCTTAGGCAAATATCCTCTTGAAGAAAATATCTCAAATAATTACCAAAATATAAACAAGAAAACCAGCCAACATTGGTAACAATACTTCAAAATCAGTTTGGAATAATTAGATACTTATTATAAAATATATCTGGTTAGTATATTTAAAGAAATAAAAGAGGACAGAGTAAAGTTATGCCTGAACATAACAAATGTTCAGGTAGACAAAAAGAGAACTGTGTATAACTTTTTCTTTTCTGAAAATGAAAAATATAATAATTGAAATTAGAACCTGAATAAATTAGCTAAACAGAAGATAATTCAAACTTGAATGAATAATCATAAACTGAGAGACAGAATTAAAAAATTAACAAAGATTGTATCACGAAGAAAAACAGATGCAAAATAATAAAGAGAAATTAAGAATTGGAGAAATTAAAGTGAACAGGTCAAGCACTAATCTACTAAAACCTCCTGCAAACCATGAGAGGAAGAGATTATTGAAATGAAGTACTAGGCAATACTTGAACGAGTAACAGAATTTTCCAGAACTGAAGAAAGGTAATTTTCAGCTCCCCAAAGCCTAACATATTCCAAAACAAAGTAAATTTCTAGAAATTTATACTCAGAAAGGAATAGAATATACCTTCATGATCTGACAAAAAATAACTTGAATCATATGCCTAGAAACATTTCTAAAAATGAGTGAAATAAAGTGGATAAAGCGTGTGTGTATGTGTGTGTGTGTGTGTTTGTGTGTTTTGTCTCACAGAAGTTGAGAGAATTTATAAACAATAGATCCTTGCTAAAGGATCTTCCAAGAACTTCAGGAAGAGAAAATATTTTTTCCCCAGAAGGGCAGTATGAGACTTTTTTAAAAAGGAACATATAAATCTACACAAACATTGACTTTATGAAACAATAACATCATGACCCAGTGTTAAAACAAAATAGGATGAAAGTAAAACACTGGAAAAAGTATAATTTGGGAAATGACACAAAAAAGCCATTTGTTTTTCAATGGTGTAGTAAAGACATCATAAAGACTGTTCAGTTATATGCTATACTAAATTTCAAGTATGGCCATAAAAATATGAGAAATAGTGTTTATTTAAGGTTAGCAGAGGAGGAACAATTAAATGGGGAAAAATCGACAAAAGGGGAACATATACAAATATGCCATTAATTTACTCAATGCAAATGGGCTATATCCCTCCCTTAAAAACAAATATGTTCAGAATCTATTTATAAAATTCTCTTCTCAATCTGTTTACAAAAGACACAGATGAAGCATAAATAGTAGAAGTTTTCAAAGGGTAAGAAAAAAATAACATTTGACAAAAACGAAATAATTAAAACTGTGACTGCTACATTAATATAAAAATGTACTTCAAGTAAAAAGCATTTTTGAAAATAATGGATACAAACTTCAACTCAACAGAGAGATGCACCTAATGTGTAGATTCCTTGCCCTTAATGTGTAGAGGTGTGTGTGTGTGTGTGTGTGTGTGTGTGTGTATCACTTGACAGAACTTCAAGGAAAACTTAGAGAAAGATTGTAATACACCTCTCCCATTAGTTGATATTTTAAGGAAGTGGAAATAGGAAGGGTATTACAATTTTTGTACACATTATTAACAGGTTTAATATGATATATATTTAGAGAACCCTTCACACAAGAACTGGAAAATACAGCTTTTTTTCCAAGCACACTTGGAACATTCTAAAAATTAACTAGATACTAGGCAATAAAGAATCAAATAACTGGAATAATATGAAACAATCTCTAATCACAATGTCTTAAAGTTGGAAATCAATGTTATGAAATAAATATAAAATCTCTATACTTGGAAATTTAAAAACACATTTCCAAATAACTCATTTGTCAAAGAATAATTCATAATATAAATATATATTAATAAGATCATACTGAATACATAAACAATAATTAAAATACTAAAAATTATAGGATGTCTTTAAAGGGGCAGAGGAAAACTTGTAGCTTTGTTTCTTTTGGAAAAAGAAGCTAAAAATTAATAAGCTCAATGTTTATTCAAAGAAGTTAGAGAAAGAAAAACAGAATAAATATTACTGAAGTAAAAGGTAATGAAAATTAAGAGAATTTAATGAAATAGAAATAATACAGAGGATTAATAAAGGTACATCATAGTTCTTAGGGAAGATGAACTTTGGCTGCTTTGGCAAGATGGATCAAATAACATATGGAAACTTTTTAAATAATATAAAGAATAAAAACAGGTATATAACTACAAATGTTGAAGAAATCTGGAAAGATAATTAAACAATGCAAGAATAAATTGATGTCAACAAATATGAAAGCTTAGATTTCTAGAAAATTGCACATTGCTAAAATGGAAGCAATAATAATACAAAAATGACATAATTCTGTAATTATTTTAAAAAAACGGATCATTGGTTAAGAATCTTCCCAGAGCGTACAAGTGTAGGCGATCGGTCAGAGTCGTGGGAAAAACTACAGGGAAAGGGTGCAAACCTTCTGAAAGTTCAGAAGGTTCTGCAGAGCCCCTTGGGGGAGAACAGCTGAAGGTAGCTGTTCTGTAATTGTGAGGCAGAGGGCAAGGAGTAGGTACAAGGGAGTGTAGGGGAATTTTTCTTAAACAGGCTTGTTTTCTTATGTTGACCGGGAACTGACATTTGATTCGCCGTGAGACATTCCCTGAAAGGGGAACAATAAATGTTAATTACCTACAGGTTGTGTTTGCTCCAGGTTTTCAGCATTGTGCCTGCACTGAATCAAAGCAAGCAGCTCCAGCTTCTCAGGGCTGCTTTCCAGACACTAGAGCCAGGCAGTCACCTAGCTGCTCTTACACTGCATACCTGTGTCTGAGTACTCATTTCATCTGCTGGCCAGAGTCTGTGGGACAGACTTGGCATATATGAGGCATGGTGAGTTTTATCGAAGTTAACTAAAAATTCAAAGAAGAGTTAATTTGATAGTATACAAAAATCTTCTAGAAAATAAGAGAAAAGAAATACTTCACCACTCACTTAATATTCATCACTCTTTTAGTTTTCATTCCAAACCAGACAAGGACACCAAGACAAAGAAAACAAACAGGTCAATTTCACTCATATGAGTAGATGCCAAACTTTTTGAGAAAAAAAAAAAAAAACTGAACAATATTTTAAAAATATAATACCGTGATTTACAAATGTACAAATAATGTGATGTTGCTTCCACATTAGAAAATCCACTATATCAATTACAAAACAGTGGGATTAAAGGAGAAAACCATTCAAATATCTTAATAGATGCGACAGGAAAATCATAATAAAACTGCTCAAAATTAGGACTAGAGGGAAACTTTCATAATCGGATGAAGTTTATCTATACTGACCTACAGCAAATTTCATATATCAGTGAATTATTAGAACCATACTATTTAAAATCAGAAACAAGACTTAAATGTACATTGTCAATATTTCTGCTAAATATTATTCTAGACTTTCCTAGCTATGTAGCTAAGAAATAAAAAAAAATAAAAGGAATAAGAATTTAAAAAGAAGAAACGAAACTGTTATTGGCAGTTGATATGATAGCCTAGAACAAGGATCAGCAAACAATGGCCCACAGGCAAAAGCTAGCTCACCACCTGTTTCTGTAAATGAAGTTTTATTGGAACACAGCCATGCCATGCTTATTCATTTGCGTATTGTCTATGGCTGCTTTCGTGCTACAATGGCACAGTTGAATAATGGCTACAGAGACCATATGGCCCCCAAAGTCTAAAATGTTTACTATCTGGCCAACCCCTGAACTAGAATTTAAAATTATTAGAATTAAAACAATTTAGGGAACTGTCAAATATGTCAATAAAACTAACTGAATTTCTTAAATATGTCATAAGCACTTAAGACATATTGATATACATATATGTATGCACATTCAGTCACAAAGTATTTCAGAAATAGTAGTGAAACTAACAGAATTACAGAAGTTATCTTTTTAAGAACACAATTAAAATTAATCAAAGAATTTGAGGAAAACTGAAATAGATGGAGTGATATAAAGACACCATACTCATGGGCAGAAAGACCAAACATGGGAAAGACTCAAGTCTCTAATATCCCCAAATTCCATTTAATTCCTATCAACTGCAACAGAGTTTCTCATGGAATTTAAAAACATATTTTTAAAATCTATATAAAAGAGGAAAGGATTAAGAATATTTAACATATTCCTGAAGAAAAAGGTTGGCAGATATTCTTCTATCAGATGACACATTACAAAATAATATTTAAATCCAAATACTTTTGAGGTAGGAAAAACACGAATAGAAAAGATAAGGAAACACAGGCAGATGCAGATAAATATGAAAGCTTGATCTATAATGAATGCCTGAATGAAAGCTTGATCTATAATGAATGTAGTATTAGAGTCTCCTGAGAAAAAAGATACATTATTTAGGAAATAGTACAAGATAATTGTTTATCCATAAACATACACAAACAATTTTACATAGATTAAAACATTAATTGTGCAAAGAAATATGTAAAAATTTTAAGTAGAAAATATTTGTCACGTTTTATAAAACTGGAGTAGGAGATTCTTTCTTTGGAAAATATAAAATGCAAAAAACGTAAATGAAAATTTGACATATTTGACACCACTAAAATTAAGAAGAGTTGTTCAGCAGTGTACCTCATAAAAATAGTGAAAGCACAAATCATGTCCATACAAATTTCCCATGTAGTCAGCCAACAATGTGTTAGTATCTAGAATATGTAAAGATGCATTCCAAAATAATAAAAATACACAAATATACTAATAGAAAAATAACCACAACAAACAAAACAAAAATGGAAAATGAACTTGTGGAAAATGTGCTTAACTCATTTGTTTTCATTTAAATGCAAATACAAATTACAGTATGTGAAACTTTACACCCACTAACTAGACTGGCAAAAGTTTAATAAATTGAAAATAGCTCAGAAGTTTTTATTTCTTGTTGAGAACATGAACTCGTACAACTACTGCAATTCAGTAGTCTCATTCCTAGATCTACACCCCGGTGGATCTCCCAAGTACACCCGGGAAACATCCACAAGAATGTTTAAAGCAGCAGTGTGTGTAGCAACAAATTCCTGGAGACGAGAAAACTGAAGGAAGAATCCCTCACAATGAATCTCCAAAGCAAACTACTGAGTGAATAAAGCAAGATGCACAGGAGTACCTACCATGTGATTCTATAAATAAACTATCCCAAAAGATGCAAGACAAGACCTAGTCATATTTAGGAATACATATGTACGTGGTAAAACCATGAAGAATATCAAAGGAAGGGTCAATCTGAAATGTGGTTCAATGTGTACATCTGGACAGAAGAGGGAAATTGTGTTAATAACATTCTCTTCATTCCCTGAAGTCACTAAAAGCTGCTAACTTTGTCATTTTAATTTGTGCATGTAGGTTAACTATACTCTTTGGTATGAATGATGTATTTTTATAATGAACACCTATAGAATATTATAGAATAAACTAGAAAAATGGTAAATAAAGAGCATCTTCCTACAAATAATTAAGCTTAAAGGTTTGATACCCAAATAAAGTTTCATCTCAAATAAAACTTCTCTACAATACAATGATTCATTTACAACCTACCAATACAGCTTAAGACCATCACTTCTCACCTCCATGGCCAGGCACACACACATACATGTGGTCACTAACAATTTTTGATAGCTGAGGGCTTTGATGTGGCATTCAGCTTCTAGATTTTACATAGTGTAGGGTAAAAAAGAAGAAAAACAAATACCACCACATACCATTTGTAATTCTTTGTTTTTCAGAGTCACATTGGAAAATGTGCTGTATCCATTAACCTTTTTGCAAAGAGCAGGAGGAAAGCTAGTTAACATTTGACAGCTTCGCAGAGTCTATTGACTTCTAATGAAAAATATACTGCTACCTCTATTTTCTGTATACTTGTCAGTTGCAGAGCATTTGTTACAAGAAGAGCCATTACCATTACTGTGTTTTACTTCTCCAATCCCCCATATTCTGCCCGTAAATATAAATTGAGGGTGATCTTAACTTATTACCATATTAATTTTAATTTTCTCATTCAGTAATCCCATATTAACCATTTGCTTGTTAATGGTTTATTCTGTACATAATAAATGAATTTTACAGTTCTTGTAAATAGTACTTGATAGTGACTCTCTAGGATAGCTCAGAGTTAACTATCCTGCCTTTAAACACTAAGCAAGAAAAGGCTAATAGAAACAACAGTCTTCTCTGGCCTTGTATCCAGCATGTTGTCATAATCACAGAATGATTAAAAATGATGATGGTATTATAAAATATTTGTGCAAGGGAGAACAAAGATGCAGGTGAATAATAATAACATGGTAGTAGAGTCCCAGAAAGAAAAAGGTGAGAAGTTTCCAGTCTAAAATGTAATCAATCAGTAAGTGGATGACTTCCCTGGCATATAATTGATAGCCTGGGATTTCAATCAGTAATTTTCTATTACATAAGCCTTTTATTTCTGTGAGGTAATTCAAAACTCCCCAGAGTTGATGGTCAATCCTTACAAATGCAGGCAATAGAGCATATACCCTTTTCCATCTTTTAAAGCTATCTGTACCCATATCATCCTTAACGTTTAATTTTGGAACTGATGCAATTATTAGCATGACTCTAACTTCAAGTAACAGCCTTTGTTAGCTGTGCTAATTCACACACACACACACACACACACACACTACACAGTAATAGGTTCTGAAATCAATTCCCAAGGCTAGCTAAATCTGTAGCTGAATACTCTCAGTGAAGACCCAGATTTATCTCTGTCTCTTCACTCTGCCTTCCTTAGTATCTTGACATTTGTTCTCATCCTGTTACCTCCTCGTCCTGAGGAACCTACATGCCGTGGTCTCAGACAATAATTTCTAAACAATTGAGAGGCAAGTGGTGAGTTCATTCTTTCTGCATCTTTCTTAGAACAAAAAAACAAAAACACACAAATAAACCTACTTCCTAAAAATGATTCCTCTCATCCCCCCACCCACAGAATCTTATATCTCATTAGTTAAAATTGTGTCACACCGATTCCTACATCAATCACCAGCAAGATGAATCGATTGACTTAGACTAAATATGATTTACTCCTCATCTTGCTATCAGCTGGGCAGGTATGCAATCTTTACTGAAAAGCAGGATGATTTGATATAGTAACAAACTCAGCATCCTGTGGGCAGACAGCTAATAGGCAAACAAGCGTGCCACAAAAATGGAAAAGTCTTCTAGAACTTTCTATGCAGTGCCTTTGCCTAAATCTCAGGCCTAAATGATCTCTGTCCATTTGACTATTATATCTATCTTTTTCTTAATAATGCACAGGAGAAGTCATTATAATATTTCGGTACTCTATTTTGAAGTCTCTTAATACATCAGTAAAATAACTTTTTTCTTCTAGTATCTCCTATTTCTACTTAAGCAGTAGAATATTTTATATTGTAGGTTATTTGTAAAATATCAAAACAAAAGGAAGGAGCCAATTCTTAGACATTTTATAATATCTCTCAAGGAAGATATTTAGACTTCTGAATGACGGGAGAATAAAAGGCAGAGGAAACAAACACACTTTAAAAAAATACTCACCTTTTAGTGCAAGAGGGATACAATAAGAAATCCAGGAAAAAAGACAGAACAGAAATTTGACTTTTATCTATTCATTCTTCTTACCTTATCATGTTTTCAAGTGGAAATATATACTATAATGTTATAGTGGGAGTTAACGGTAGAGAAAATGTATGATAAAGAACTTGCTAAGTTTTTAGAAATAGATTTTCTGTTTTTGCATGCCATTTTTTAGGAACCCATTAAGTCTCTAAGTGACTCAAATATATATAGAAAGAAAAAGAAAAAATGGGGAAATCCAGAGAAAGCAAACTTAACAATTGGGAGGTATCTGGTGCATGTCAGGTACAGGACTAGAATTTTTACCCGCTTTCTGGCATGAGAGACTTGAAAAATACACACGATAACTACCATTTTTGAGATGGAGAAACTTAAATTATGTGGGTTGCCCTCTTGCTGACAGGAGGCATGTGTAACAGAATTGAGGATAAAATGTCTCTCTGACCACACAGTCCATACCAGACATAGGACACAAGGGTCCTAGCCATTTGCCTCAGCCTGCCACATTACTAAAACACTCAGGGGAAAATGAGATGAAACAAGTAAAAATACTTAGAAATACTATATTTAGGGTCTAAAAAAATTGGTTAAGTCTATGCATTAAGTAATGAAAATAATGATGAGGTGAAAAATGTCAAAGTGTTCTTTCAAAGTGGCCTTTATGTAGAGCACGTGGAATCCCATTTCTATTCTCTCTAATTGCTGGAAACAAATAATGTGAAAGCCAGAGGCAAGTATATGTCTTTAGTACCAAAGTGAGATGTAGACAACTTCCGCTTTTTGGAAAATATTCTTTTTTATGTGTCTACAGTTATAAAATGTACACTTTTAAAATAGAACATATGCTTTTTGACCCCATTTCAAATAAGAAAATTGAAAATCGTGGGAAGGTCTACATTGCAAGATAGACTGTTGAGACGGAGTGATGGGGAGGGTTGTCAGGGGAGGGGAGCAGTGGTGATGATGATGGAAAAACACCTTGTAGGGCAGCTGCATCAGGCACTATTCCCACATGTTTCACATTGTATGTAGCTCAGTGTCTGAGTGCAGGCTGTGCACCACACCACACAGTGAGAAGTATGAAACTGAGTACCAATGAAAAAGGATTTTATCGCAGTGTTTCACAATTGCCAAAACACCTATGCAACAAAATGCTCCCTGTTCAAAAAATGATATCTGCCTGTGCTTGTGGTTCTTAGGTTCACAGAGTTTGCCAGCCCAATGGATATTACTGTAAAAAATGTGTTCATGATGTAAATATTAAAAACAATTTAGAATATTATAATGTAGATTATTGAAGGGAAAAACAAATGCAGGAATTAGGATTCATTCATTTTATGACACAATTTTGTTTTCTTCATTTCTGATTTTACTAGTCATGGAAATAGACTGATTTTTGAAGCTTTTAAATTCATGCAAAACAATTTTCAATGTGTAGAATTTTAGTCAGGGCTAAAAATAAACATTACCTGGAAAAAACACGTTTTTAACAAGATCATGTTAAATAAAAGCACTAGGCTCTTGGTCATTAAAAGTTTTCCTTCATAAGTTTTAAATTCTAATAGACCAATGCAGAAAATGAAGATCATTTTTATGGCCCATAATTAAACTGGCTAAACTAAAACTTTCTTACCTGTGAACTTGCTGCCTCCATGAAAGAGATTAAAGCATGTCCTCTATGTCCAAGGAGAACACATCATCAGGAGTGCAGCTGTTGTACTTTATTTTCTTTGTGGTTCTTCACTTCAAGGTTATCATATGTAGAGGAAGTATTAGAGGAAGAATAGAGTTAGAAGAATTCTTTCTGGGATTCATTGTCCTTTATCTGAAATATCTATCATTACATTACTTCAGCTAGAAAGTGTCAGAACCAATTCCTGTGAGACAATTTCTCTGTACCATTTCCATGGCCTTGAGCACTTTAACCTTGATTTTGTAGACTTGTGTGCATATCACTTCTAGAATGTACATTTCACTGGAGGGCAGGGTCCTTATTTGTTTGATTCATTCAAGAAATATTTATTGAGCATGTGACTGATGTCATAGAAACATAAAGATGGATAAGACAAACCATTGGTAGTTGAGGGAAGACATAAGAAAGCCAATAATGATAATACCAGGAGAGAAACAGACAAGAGTAGTATTTCAAAAACATAAATTCAGTCATAGCAGAAATCAGATGGGCCAATGCAGAACAGATAGTTGCAACTGTGCTTAGGGGTTAGAGAAGCTGTCACAGAGGCAGTTGCATTTAGCATGAGTCTTAGAGATAAGCATCCATGGAGGAAAAGCTTTTTTGAAATAAACAGCGTTGGTGAAGGTGCTACATCACGAAAACCAGGGCATGCCTAAAGAAGTTACAGAAATTCACTACATCCATAAAGTAGGATGTGCAATGTTAGAAAGTTTACACTTTATCCCAAACCTATTAAAAAATGTTTGTCTGTGACAAAATCAAATTTCCTTGCTAAGAGGACCAATCCTGTGGTCAGTCCTGTAGCAACTATGAGATGTGTGAGGTCCATCAGATTGAATTAGGGCACGTCTGGTGGCAAGTAACAGAAAATCAACCTCAGCTCATTTATAGCCTAAAGATGTCTAACTGGCTCATATCTAGTTTCAAGGTGAAATCCCTGTATGTGTTCTGTCAGAGCTTGGACTCCATTTCTCTGTGGATCCTTACTCTGAACTCCTTCATGAGTTGATTTTCCTTGGGCTATTTCCCCTTATGGTACAAAATGGCTGCCACCAATAACTGGGATTATATTTTTGCTCTTTCACATTTGAAGAGGAGTATTTTTTTCCCACCACGATTAAACAATACATCTAAGTTTTATTAGCCTAACTTGAACACTGCAGCATGAGGAATGAGATTATGCACATTAGTTTACGCCGATCAGAGCCAATATATAGAGCTGGGAATTACATTGACCTGAACTACTGGGGAGAGAGACACAATGGTGGAAACTTGGTTTCCAAAAGGACATTATGAAACTTGTTAAAAAGAAGAGACAGGGGTGGGAAGTGAACTGGAAGTAAGAATGGCTGCTGGAAGGAAACCAGCAAATGTACATAAAAGAATATACTCTTTTCATGGTCCAGGCCAGAAATGACAAGAACCTGAATTTATATATTGGAAATGGAAGTAGAGAGCAGTGTATGGTTTTGAGAAGGTGTCAATGGATTGAATCTGACAGATGTCTAAAAGGCAAAAATGAAGAATGGCTCCAAGCTTTGTGGTTTGGGTAAATGGAAACATGGTAGTGGTAACCAAAATACAGAAAATAGAAGGAGGATTAAATCTCATAAAACGAGAAAATGGTACGATTATGAGTTATTTGGAATATATTGAATTTAATGTGCTTGTTTGAGTCCAAATTGGCATGCTTAGTCAGTAATTAAACAGATGGATGTGGATTTCTGCATACAGATCTTGACTGAAGACAAAGAAATGGGTAAAGGCAGAGATTAATGGTAATTTAAACAAAGATAGTAAGTGAGAAGAAGAGGGATAGATTTGTTGAGTGAAGTAGAAAAGAGGCAAATACAGAACTCTGATAATGATAAAATTAAGAGAATTATTGAATAAGACTAAAAGAGCACTGTAGAGTAAGAAGGAAATATATTTAAAGGAGAAGCAGTAGAGTATATGGGATGTTAATGTGAAGTGGTGAGAAAGTCCCCTTTTACAGAGCCAGAGAGAAAGTGGTCACCTACATATTACATAGTTTAACATAATAGGTGTTATTGTAAAGCATGTCTAGGGAAAAGTTGAGTTATTTTGTACAAAATAATAAGAAAACTCTCTGAGGAGGAAGTGTTTGGCATGAAACCTAACTAAAGAAAATAAGGAGACATTGGAAATTGAGGTGTTTGTGTGTTGGGGAGGGATCAGGCAGTCAGAGAAGCAAGTGAGTTGAAGTTGAAATGAGTACAAAATGGCAAGATGGCTAAGATAGCTGGAGCAAGGTTGAAAATACTTTTGGAGAGACAGGTATAAATCAGAACAATGAGGGAGTTACAGGCCATGGAATTTAGACAGTAGACTTTACTCAAATTGTAATATGAGGCTGTTGAAACAATTTGAGCAGAAAAGTGTCATGACTTGATTTATATTGTCAAAAGAATGTCCTGGGCTCCACCTGGAGGAAAGTCTACAAGGGGTGGAGGAAAAAGGATGACTATTTAGCCATCTATTGCAGGAATACAGGTGAGGATGATGATGGGATGACCTAGGATGTTTGTAGTAAAGACAGAAGAAGTATCTGTGTTCAGAATCTATTCCAAAGATGGCAAAGTTTAAAGCACTTGCTGATGTGGAGTGGAGAGAGGGAAGAGTGAAGGCTGCTTGTAGTGTTGGTCTAGATGTGGAACATTGAGACAAGAGCTGGTTGGAAGATGGTGGGGAAGAACATGTCCTTTGGCCAAGATAAATTTTCTATGTTTTGTAAACATCCAAGTGAAGTTATTGAGTAGGCAATGTGATAACATAAACGTGGAAATAAGGGGTAGAGACAAAGAGAATCCTGAATTAGGTCATTCAGTGAGTGAGTGTGGTTAGAAAAGAGAAGACTAAGACTAAGGCCTGCAGAATTCATATTTAGAGTTTTAGAAGGTAAGCAAGATCCCAAAAAGGAGACTGAAAAGCAGTTATCTTTTCAGCAGGAGGAAAATCATGAGAGTTTGCCATTCACGTGGTCAAATGGAGACAGTGATTCAAGTAACAGGAAATATCTATTTTAAACACTGCCAAAGCTCAAAAGAAAAAAAAGGATGATCTAGAAGTGTTTATTAATTCTGAAGAATCCAGCAAGAAAATTTCAGTTGGTTGTTGGGAATAAAAGATTAGGTGGAGAAGATTATGAAAAAATGGGAGTTAAGGAGTTGAAGATAACAGATACAGAAATATTTTTGATAACTTTTTCTACAAAGGAGAACATGAAAAATGGGAGATGTAGTGGAAAAATGCCATGAGGTCAAAGGAGTGTCTCTTATTTATTAATATTTTTAAAGCACAAGAGATAGCAGAGTGTGCTTGTGTGCTAATGGAAATTTTCTTGTGGAGAAGAATAAATTAATATGCAACTTCAAAGTCTTTGAGTGGACAAGAAAGAAGATGTCAGCCATAGGCGGAGGGGCTGGCTTAATTGTTGATTTAGTTGTTGGGACCATTCACCCACTTGAAAAGGAAGGAAAACAACATGTAGACATAAAAATTATCTAATTGCTTCTTACCCATTCCCTCTCAGGGGAAGCAAAATCAAGGATATTAGTTGAGAGTAAAAAATTATTTTGGAAGGTAACAGATTTTGTAATCAGTTAGAGATGATGGCATTGATGTTTTTGTTGAAGTTTGCAACTGGCAAAAATGATTGTTGGAGACAAACTTAGATAAGATGCCAAGACCAGAGTTATAAATGTGACTGAATTAAAAAAAAAATTAAAAACCATAATATAGTATATGTAACAATATTTTTGTTAGTCTCCTGTGTGATCACTATGCTTCTTGTTCT